>NC_000012.12:74581340-74732855 GCF_000001405.40 Homo sapiens | reverse complement strand
TATCAGCCAAGAAGGTTGTTACACTTCACTGAGACCTCTCTAAGCATGAGAATCATTACAGGTTATTTTAACTTTACCACTGTGTTCACACAAAATATCTGTAACGTTCTTAGACTAAAGATATGCACTCTTTGTGGGGTTCCTTAAATTTTCTCATTCTTACCAACTTTACAGTATGCTTCTGTAAATATTAAGCTCTTGTTATAAGCAGTGGAGACACTGCAGCCTGAGCATCTTTCTAATCCATAATGATGTGTGAGAGGAAGGAATATGGTTGATTTGTGTTACCGTGGTGAGTGTTTAAACACACTGTCGTAATCTCCACTGCATTTCTCAAAAAAACGTACATAAAGTCAGTGGTTTAGTTTTTTGAAATAAGAGAAAAATCAATCACATTTTGTGACTACTGTGATAAACATTTATTTTCATTATCATTGCCATCTGGTTTCATCATTCTGGGAGGAAAAAGCTTACCTGTTAAAATAACTTACACAACAGGATCCAGTTGCAGATATCTATAATGAGAAATTCGAGTAAGTGATTTGCAGAGTTATAATCTCTAAGCCTATACTTTTATGTGGAAGGAAGTGTCACTACTGTGGTGTAAATCACAGAGACATGCTTATAGACCTGGAAATAAAATCAAATGCTTTTTTTTGAAATATTAACAAAATAAATGTATACAAACAAAAGCGCAAGCTCTATGAGATCAGGAAAATTTCCAGCTTGTTTATTTATCTATGCTCAGCTCCTATCTTCTATCTGACACATAGTGGTCCCTTTATATATGTTTGTGACTAAATGAATGAGTTTAGTCATCTGTAATAAAAAGACACTCAGGGAGTTAGTGAAAATTCTCGATTACATTCTCAATCAAGGAAACTAATATATAATATTAGGAAAAGATTATTTAACTATGATTAATGGAAAGGAAAACTGCCATAATTATGTAGTGACTTGCCTGGCTCTTGTGGTGACAAAATATTAAAAGTAATGGCCAAAACCACATTAATTTTGAGCCAACCTAAATATATCAAAATTGAGAGCAAGGATTTGTAAATCTTTAACCAGCTATAACCAAGGAAAATAATGAGCTTATTCTTTTAAAAGAAATACTCTAGATAGAGAAAGAATCTATCAGACTATAATAGCCCTAAGAGCATGTCTCTCGGGAATATACAATACAGCAAAGTGTCAGAGAGCTTGCTGAACTAAAGGCCTGAGATAAATTCTTTCTCATTTCATATTTCATGATTATCCTGAAAATCAATCAGAAGAATAGTAAGAAATTCTGAACCTAAATCCTAGTTCTGTTTTTATTTTTATTTTTTAATAAATAAAATAAGCCAACCCTTATCCACTCAGGCTTCTTGTCCACAGAGGAAATTGAGTAGCTGTTTCCTTCAGATCTCAGTTATTCAGTAAGGTATCCCCTGATACACAAACTTCCCAGGCAATCCTCCTTACACCATTTCCTTCATAGCATGAATTACTCTGAAATTGTCTTCTTTATTTCTTTGCCTCCTCTGCCAATCTCCCCCAACTAACTCAAATTTATGTTCTATGAGAGCAGAAATGTAGCTCGCTTTGTTAACCATTGTACCTCTGGTACCTAGAACAGCACCTGGCATATAATAAGAACTTGACAAATGTTTACCAATTCCACATTTCTTGTTTCAATGTTCTATAAGTCTATTTATTATCTTTACCTTATTGTTCTGTACTGATTCCCTTACTAAGAGCTCTGTGCAAAAGTCAATACTTGAGTCAAATACATCTCCCACTGATGACTAAACATTAATATTCATGTATTCACATCATTGTTTTGAACGAGGAAGCAAAGATAGTAGGCATAGGTAGATCAAGGAAGACAGAATCACCATAGGTGAACTACTAGTACATTAAAATTTTTAAATCTACAAATCTAGCAACCAAACACTGAACGTCTATGAGTTTATCAAACTCTTCCAAATAAGTTAGCTTCTCTCCTTCTTTGACAGTTGGTATCTTATAAAAGAAAATTCTTTTGGCCAATTAATTACTTGTGAAATAGCAAGCTTTGATAAAAGTATTGACCAAGTAATTTTTGGATTTGTAAATAGTTAAGTACTTTTGCTGTTGTTAGTGGTGGTTGTTGTGGTCAATAGTGGTGATTAGCAGTGGTGGTTTGCAAGGATAAGGGAAAGAAAGCAAATGGAATTTCTGATATAGAGTGGATACATCACTTTTCATCCTCACAATCCTGAAAATCTCTATTTGCTGTGTATCTAGTTCTGAAGAATAGGAGGATGAATGTATGGCCCATTCCCTAAGCAGCTAACAATAAAGATAGGAAATCAGGGAGAGAATGAAGTCCTGTTGTGAATGAGAAAGAAGTTTAGAGTTAGAATATGAATTTATGTAATTATGACACTAGACTGGGCATTTAATTGTTGAAACTAGATTTTTATTTTTACTAAAAGTGCCCGGAGAACTTTTAATAATCTTGGACTAAATAAAAGTATTTGGCTTGCTATACATATATATTTACTTGCACTCTAATACTTTTAGCTCTCTCTAAACTGCATGAGGTTGTGGTGAGATAACTGCATGAGGGTGAAGTAGGCAGGGGTTACCTCAAACTAAAACATTTCTGTGTAGCAAAGAGAACAACCAATACAGTGAAGAGACAATTTACCGAATAAGAAAACATATTTTTCAAACCTCACATCTGATAAGAGGTTAATATCCAAAATATATAAATAACTCAAACAACTAAATAATAATAAAACAAATAACCTGAATTTAAAATGGGCAAAGGACCTGAATAGACATATCTCAAAAGAAGACATACAAATGGCCAATAAGTATATGAAAAAAATGCTCAATGTTATTAATCATCAGAGAGATGCAAATTAAAACCACAATGAGATTTCATCTCATATCATTAGAACGAATATTATCAAAAAGGTGAAATATAACAAGTGTTCAATAGGATATGAAGAAAACAGAACCTTTACTCAATGTTGGTGGAAATGTAACTTATAGTAGCCATTGAGTAAACAATGTGGAGTTTCCTTAAAAAATTAAAAATAGAACTACAATATAATCCCGTATTCTCACCACTGGGTATATAAGTTTAAAGGAAATAAAATCAGGATATTGAATATATCTGCACTCCTAAGTTTATTGCAGCACTATTCACAGTAGTCAATATATAGATTCCACCTAAGTATTCATTAAAGGATGAAAGGATAAAGAAAGTGTTGTATATGTATCCAGAGGAATATTATTCATCCTTTAAAAAGAACGTAATCCTGTTTAGGACAACATGGATGTATGTACCTTGAAGACATTATGTTAGCACCAAAAGATAAATTTTGCATGATCTTGCTTATACGTGGCATTTATGATAGTTGAATTTACAGAAGCAGAGAGTAGGATGGTGATTACCCGGTGCTGGGAAAGGTTGGGTGTGGTACAGGAAATGCTGGTGGTCAGAGGGTATGAATTTCAGTTATATAAGAAGAATAAGTTTTGAACATATATTGTATAACATGGTGACTATAATTAACAATAATGCAGTGTGGTTTTTAAAATAATTGAGTAGATTTTGTGCTCTCACCATAAAACAATATTACTGAGGTAATGCCTATGTTAATTAGCTCAATTCAGTGATTCCAGAATGCGTACATATTTCAAAACATCACATTGTACAGGACAAGTACATAGGAGTTTCTTATTCGTTAAATTATTGGAACCTGAATTGCCAATCAAAACATGTTTGATTTGACAACTTTTACTAAATTGCCTTCCATTGAGGTTATATCAATATTAACACAATTTTTATTTGTCAATTAAAAATAATTTTAAATTAATTAAAAATAAGGCAGGAGGCAAGACACTGGGAGCCATCACGTTACACCAGGGTCTGGAAAAACAACACTAGGCAAAGAACTTGCATCAAGATCAGAAATGGAATACATTAATGTGAGTGATTTAGCTGGGGAAGTCTCATCACGAGGTATCATGGAGTCTGACAAGATGCCCTCTCCCAAGAGCATGTGGGAAGATACACAGATAATGGCACAAATACTGAAGGATATGAGGATTACAAAGTATGAACTTAGAGTTATAAATCAGATGTTGGAGTTTGACTTCTGGTATGTGACTACAATTTTAGATGAGACAAAAATTTACTTAAGCCAGTCTAAGAAAGCTACTGTTGATGCAGATGATATGCGATTGGCAATGCAGTGTTGCACTGACCAGCTGACCAACCAACAGGTTTTTTATTAATACCTCTTCTCCCCTAAGAGCTTTTCTGTTAGATATTGCAAGTCAAAGAAATTAAACTCCTTTGCCATTAATCAAGCCATATTTAGGTCCTAATTCAATATCCTAACAGACATTGCTTAATCGCTTCAAACTATAGGCTTAAGTCTTTACAGAAAAAGATTTCTACTTCTGCAGGAAGAGTAACAATTCCATGGTTAAGCATTGGTTCAGTTACTAGCAGACCAAGTAATCCTACATTAGGTGCAACCACCCCACAAATCATGTCTGTTTTAACTAAAGTATGGACTCCAATGTCCCTCACAGGGAGAAAGGTTTACAGTACAGCTTTCTGCTTCACAGACTCCAGCTATAAAAGCATCAATTTCTGCAACATCATCAGTAAAGAGTGTTCCAATTAATCAATCATTATTTAGGTCCAAAAGCATTCTTATTACCACTAATATGGAGTCACCACAAAATATTGCCAATGGATCATCAAGTCCATTTAAAAGGAAGCATTAAGAAGATGATAATGATAATAATGACAACTACAACTATGGTAATTTGTAATCTAGCCTTGATGCATGTAACATGTACATCTAGTCTTGAATTCATTGTACTGAAATTCAACACTCATACTGGATGTTTTCAAGTTGTGCTTTAGAACACTTAAATAATATTTAATGAGTAAGTTTAGTGTTACCCTACTTCCCTACTTTTTTTTCCTTTCTTTTCTTTCTTTCTTTCTTTTTTATTTATTTATTTTTTTTTTGAGACGAAGTCTTGCTCTGTCACCCAGGCTGGAGTGCAGGTGCAATCTTGGTTCACTGCAACCTCTGTCTCCTGGGTTCAATTGATCTTCCCGTCTCGGCCTCTCAAGTAGCTGGGAGTACAGGTGCATGCCACCATGCCCAGCTAATTTTTGTATTTTCATTAGAGATGGGGTTTTGCCTTGTTGGCCAGGCTGGTCTCAAACTCCTGACCTCAGATGATGCAACCAACTTGGCCTCCCAAAATACTGGGATTACAGGTGTAAGCTACCACGCCTGGCCTACCATACTTTTCAACTGAAGTGCTGGAATTTCTTTAATCAGATTAGTAATGGTTTTTCATCAACCTTTAAGTGTAAAAACATAAAGTTATTCATCCAAAAATAAGTAAATTAAATAAATAGATAAGTAATGCAGATATTTTTTTAAAAATTGAAAAAGAAAGAGAGAGGAGCAAGAGCAAGTGATTATTTCATTCCAAAGATAAGTAGAGACTAGTATGGCAGAAGAAAGCCCTTTTATTTTACAAGATATGGAAGAAATAGTAATTGAAACTTTGGTTATATCAGGAAATCATTAAAAATGAATATATACTCATTTTTATAAATATATATTTATATATGAAGATTCTAATTTTACTCAATATAAATGTATACTTATTATCCTTATTCTTTAATAGAATGCCAAAGTTTCTTCTGTGTGTATAGGTCTGCTAATTGGAGTTTATTGTTGTATTTCTTGAATAAACTACATATATAATGTATTATTTGTAATTTACAGTTTAATTTTTTTAATGGGACAAGAACTTAAACACTCTTGTGAGGTAAACTGAATAAAGAATTTTTCTACATTTTAAACGTAATGTTCGCCCATCCTTTGTAGTTTTTTTTTTTTATTATTATACTTTAACCAACCCAAATGTCCAACAATGATAGACTGGGTTAAGAAAATGTGGCACATATACACCACGGAATACTATGCAGCCATAAAAATGAAGAGTTCATGTCCTTTGTAGGGACATGGATGAAATTGGAAATCATCATTCTCAGTAAACTATCGCAAGGACAAAAAACCAAACACCGCATGTAGTTTTACACTTAATTAGTTTAACTGCAAGATTGTAATGTGTCTTTGTCAAGCATTTCCAAAGCATTGGAATTAAATTTCATAGAAAAAGGCTTTCTTACAATATGCTGCTTTACTTTATTAACTTACATAATAATTACATTCTGTACTTGTAAAAGTGAAGTACAGGAGTAAAAGTAGGTTAGAGGGACAACAGAAACCACTTTAAGCATATGGTTGAACTTCAGATGTGCAGAATTGTTGGGGCACAGTAGACAGGAGTCTATTAAACAAAACTGTTTCAAATGCTATGAAAATTAATAAGTATGTTTCAGAGAGTGAGTGGAAATTATTAGCTAATGCAGTGAGCTTGTAAATTGGAAATCAATCAAGACAGCTTTTATTTTAGTTCCTGATGGCTGTCCAATTACAAGCACCTCATGACACCCTCACATGCACTGCCTGCTTTGAAGCTCAAAAAATAACCCTAACTCTTTAAAATATCTTACTTTTCTTGCTAATTCAGACTCAAGTAATGTTCATCAAATGAATCCTAAAAAGAAATTAATAAGCCCTAGACTGAGTCCAAAGTTAGATTTGCATAAAAGTCCTCAAAGCTTTCGTCAACCTGTATTATTTTTCTATTGAAATATTTTAAGATTAATGTCTATTTATATTTGAATATTTATTCTATTATATAAAAGATGGTTTGTGTTTTGTATAATGATTACTGTTGATAGAATATCTAATTTCACAAAGGTAGATTTTCTTTTCAGGCTGAAGATCAGAACAATTTCTGATGCAAGCAATTTAAATAGTTTTGACAGCCAGTCTCAGAAATGATTTAAGAAAAAAATTCCACAGTTGAAATTGAGTATGTACTGTTTCCTGAAATATGTCCTTAATTTCAAAATTTGTATATTTTTTGTTTTCAAAAATTGATTTTCTGTATTCTTTCAGCATAGTTCAATTTTCTTCTTTTGCTGTTTGCCCATGATCATTGATCCTCTGGAGTTCTTTATTCTATGCCTGAACTCAAAAAATAAACCTGTATGTGTGGATGTATGGATAGTCATTGTTTATCCTTTGAGAACTATTTCTTTCGTGTTATTTTTATTCAATAAAGTGAAGCCAAAATAAATGGCTAACTAATGATACTGAAGTCAATCATTTTTATTTATTTATTTAGAGATGGGGTCTCACTCTGTTGCCCAGGCTGGTCTCTAACTCCTGTGCTCAAGCCATCCTCCTGCCTCAGTTTTCTGAATAACTGGAATTACAGGTGGGAACCACTGACCTGGCTCAATCACCTTTATTTTTATGGTCCATTTAAGCATACTTGCCTCCTTTATTATAGCAAAGAGCAAAATCTACTTCCTTATAAAAGCTTTTGGCTCCCATCCAACTATTTAGAAAATGAACTGCCTTTCTTCTATGCAGTACACATGATATAGAGTTAAATTTGGGAGCCTTCCAAGGCCTAGGTACTTATCTTACAGCTACTTCAGGAATGAATTCTTTCCATTTCTGAAATAGACAAGAACCACATATTTTAAATTCCACAAGTAAAAAGATATATTTTATTGAATAATTCATACCGAATTTTTAAAATTGACATTATCAAATAAATAAGAGATATTTTAAATTTTTGTTTATTCGTTTCATGGTGCCTATCTATGAGAAAAGGGTATTGATGGAGTTAGCATTGTCCAATCATCCTGGATTTTCTTTAGTATCTTCTCTCACAAAAATTGCGTAAGTTTCCTTGTTGAGAAAACTGGAGAAAAATATATTCTTTCAAAATGATTAAAAATTCTAAAACAATGAATTGTTTGCAAAATACAAAAAACGTATGCTTTATTAGTGAGAGTAACAAGTAACTACTTTCTCACTGTGTTTCATAAACTCTCTTTGATTTGTAGACCCTTAGATTTTGGCTACCAGAAGGTGAAATATAAGTTATCTGTGAAGCCATCTCAAACCAAACTATTTAACTTTCTTTAGGATTTTCTATGGTTGAAACCAAAATATGTTTCTTAATAACTTTATTCCATTGTAGTTATTATTTTTCTTTGGAGTTACACAGAAAAGTAAATCTATTTATTCTTGCCACTAGAACAAGTTCAGATTTATGGAATATTCTCTTGAATACTTTCTTTTCCAAGAACCCTTTGAATGTTCCTTCTACCATTTTTCATCTGACCTGGTTTTCAGATTCATCCCTATTCTGACATTTCTCCAACTCAATCCTGGTTTTGTTATTATCTTTGTTTAAATATAATGTTCAGAATTTAATGCAGCATTTTGATTGGAATACCTAAGCATAATTTGCATCAGGACAGTACCTGGGTAAAATATGAATTGCGAGTTACATTTATTTCAATTTTTATGTTGACATCTATAATATAGAATTTTTTCATAGGTGTCTTCCAGACAATTCCTAATGTCAGAGAATACCAAAAGAGATAATTATTCTTTGTTTAACATGTGGTTCATAGTTTTACAGTCTTGTAGTAGTTTTTTAGATTTGATAACATTTCATTCAGAATGTCTTTTAAAGTCAGTAATTGCCCTTAAGGAAAAAAGTTACTTTGCTTATTAGAATTTACAGATATGTGCTGAAGGTATAGTAATTTTAATTGGGTAGACTATATAGTCTTTTTTAGTATTTTATAAAGTATGACGTGGGATTTGAATCACTGGTGAAATCTGAAAGGGTTGGATGTGAAGTCTCATGCCTCTCTCTACCTAGTCTTCAGAAAAGGCAAAGGATGAGTAGCTTTATGTATCACAAACATGGAAAGTGAAAGTTTTGTGATGGCTAGGTCTGGAGTTCAGGATGTTGGGAGTAAATCTTTTACCTTGAGTTTCTTGGTGGATGATAACTGTCACAGTCCCCCTCTTTAGAAAGGCTGAGTGAATGGGCACTGCTCCCCACATCTCAGCTTAATTTGTATGAAAATTAAGCAGTCTAACACCTTGTCTTTACCTCCTTCCTGGGACATACTCTACATAGGGAGGCAGCATTTCTTAGGCAGGTGGTGCTCACAGCAAGGCCACTGTGGGCCTTATTTACCCCCTGCTTCAAAGTAAAATCTGTGTGAGTGGTACATGGGCTTAAACACATGATGTAAAAACTTGCTCTCATTTTCTCTCTCATTATAATAGACTTCAAGGTCTGTCATATAACCGACTATTTTAAACACTCCATCTTATCTCCTTCCATCACTTTCTGCCCTGGCAGAAACACATCTCTTTGCTTTTGCAAGCCCTGTTTTCTTGTAAGTAACTGAATCCTATTAAGCTATGTTGCATATGGATGTCACCATACATACATACTGTAGAATTGATGGTCAACTCAGAAGCCACCTGAAAATCATTCATTTATCCTACACTTATTTATTAAGTGCCTACTATATGTTAGGTAAAACTGCAGCACATGGAATAGATAAGTGTACCAAATAAGCAAAGATCATAGGCCCATAAAGATTACATGATTTTTTCTTTGGCCTACATTCTTCCTATTCAAAAGTATTTCAAATCTCCACTTCCCATAAATGTTGACCACCTCCTCCCTGCCCCTGCACAGAAGTGCTATACACCAACTTCACAGAGGAACTAGAATCCATCAGATGGAAAATGTTCATTATACCTTCAAAAATACTTCAACATCCTTCTCCTTTCTACTTTCCTTTTATAATGAAAAAGGTGTCCCTGGGAGCTCCCCTTGGCTCTCCCAAGTTGGGATCCGTGTAATGGAATGTGTAAGGAATGCCTTAGTCCCGGCTCATATCACTGTTTTGTAACTTGTGAGTTAATGTTTTTATCTGAGGAAATGGTCTATTTTACTCACTGTCCTATCCCCAGCATCTAATACTTACCATCTAGTTGGCACACATTAACCTTTTGGGCAATGAATGAGTGACTAGCAGGACGTTTGTGGGAGAGCCCCCACCCAGTGCACTCTGGGGGTCAGTCACATTTCAGAAGGAGTATAAGAGTCTCCTTCAAACTTCCTAGAAGTAAAACCACCAGACACCACTAAATTCTTTCTCCATGCCTTCCACAGGACACAAATTAAATATGTTACCTTGCAGATGAGCTTCTAGCATAGATGTCTGGAATTCTGAGAGTTTTCTCAGTCTCTTATGCCTGAGAGACTCGTCTCACGATTCCTACATCTCTCCTTTGTGGGCTGGGCTCCAGCAGTGCTTTGGAAGCTGCCCTAAAACCTCTGTTTACTGCGGCTTCATCACAAATTGGCTTCCTGGCTTTGGGAAAGGATTAACCTAAAACCCAGATTTCATATATTACATGGGGATATATTAACACCAAGCTAATACAGTTGTCCTGAAGAATGGAATGAGCAAGTAAAGGGCTTTGTATAGTTCCAAGGACATACAGCAGTTGCCCATGTGTGTTTGCCAAGACTTGTCTAGGACCCCCTGACCACCTAGAGAGCCCAAGCTCTCTGGGAATGTCAGGACTGCAGAAGAACAATGAAACTTCAAGTTGCCAGCCCAGCCCCTAAATTCAGGGGTCAATCTCTCCATCTCTCAATGCCAACTGAGGATAACTTGGTATTTGTTTATTTGTCACTGTTAACAGGGACATTAAGACTTTTCAGCTGCCTGGGTTCTGTTTGGTTGCAGTTTGAGTGCTGTCAGAATGCAAGGCAAATGTAACTACCAGTTATCTTTGCTTGCTTGTTTGTTTCTAGGAGATGGGAAGAAAATGTAGCTCTTGGGTTGTCATTGGTAAAGAGGTGGTAGTCACTCCTGTTAGCCTGGTGAGGGGATGTTTGATTGGTTTTCTAGAGACACAGTGTCTTTATCTTAGTTTTGTATTCATGTATGATTCTGAGAAGTCCTACTTTCTCTTGTTCCACCACAGCCATAGAGTAATGTTTTCTAACTGCTTGTAGATTCTTTGCTCGGGTAATGTTTAGTCGCACCATTATAGCCCAGCTGCTAGCTTCTGGCTTTGAAAACCAACATTTTTTTCCCCTCTGTTTATTTTCTTAGCTTTAACTTTAAGCTTATTCCAGTGTCTTTCATTGTCCATCCTATGTTTTTCATTGATTTCCTTGAGGTATGAAGCATTTGTAGTTAATATGTCTTACATGTAGCAGATTGTTAATAGCTAATAATAACAGTTAATATATTATCAATTAAAAAATGGAGGCATGTTCTTGATATACACTTCATGTGTTGTTCTGATTTTTTTCCTCTAGGTAAGTTCCTAGTTGGATATCTTGGTGAATTGTTTCTCTTTCTTTGTGTCTATTGTTTTCATGCTATTTTGTCCCCCTACAGTTGGAATTCTCAAGCCAGGAACTTTCCATTGCTTGTCCTTAATGTAGAATAACATTTAATTTTACTGTATTTGATATGTTCATTTTCAGATTTTATACTCAAATCAAATGATATACCTATGCAAATTAGTCCTACCCTGAGTTGCCATTATGCCTTGATTAAAAATCATTAGTTTTCAGTTTTTTCAACATGAAAAATATAAATGTATTAATATGCACAGGAATTGGTTTTCATTTCAGCTTAATATAGGCTATATACTCAAGTGTGCTTAATTATTATTATAATTTAGGTAATTTACATTTAAATATTTTTGATTAAATGATTTCATCAGCAAATATTTTTGGTGGTAAATGAGAATTTAAACAAGTTCCATATCTTAGTCAACTAAAAGAGCATTACAGTTGATAACTGAAACATCAGATATGAATATTGATTGGATCAAGTCATGTAATAAAAAGTACATCATCCAATCTTGTCTGTTGGGAAGCAATCTTAAACATACCAGCTGATAAAATTAGTTCAATTACATAACCTCATTAGAATAAAATATAAGAAATGGAAACAGCTTCTAGTTTGCCAATTACAATTTACTTTTCATCTACATAATGTCAGATACCATGGCAACTACTGGAAAGTGTTCTTCAGCTTCATCTGCAACAATCAGTGCAGAAAATATGCCTTGCTCATATGGAATTTTAACTATAGCAAGTCTAGTGTCCATATATATTTTCTCCTATATAAATTCAAATTATTTTCTCAAAAAAAAGTAGATAAGGAAACCCTTATCTACTACCTAAACATTTAGATAATGTACTGTTTTGTACAATCCAGCCAGGAGTTTTGTAATGTTTAGGAGATATATATATATATATATATATATATGTATGTATATTACTAGATTCAAGAAGATAATAGGTGAGCGGTCTCCCAGGGGCGCTAATTCCAAGGGGCAGTAAGGTGGCCTTGAATGTGTAAAGAAAGAGTGGGAAGTTATTCACCAGGACATCACTCAATGAGGATGTTTTATGCAGTACACAGGAGGATTTGGGATAAGGCATTAGTAATTAGGTACAGATGATTGTTATACTACCTTCTAAGGAAGCTAAATCTAGTTAATTGCAGGAATTTTATTTTATTCTTGGCAAATGCCAGTAAGGTAATGTTACTAGCAGTTCTCCTCTGTCCTTCCTAATAGCATATCTAAACTTCTTTTCCAAATAAATGTTAAGATAGTTAAATATTATTTAAAAGAGATGTCAAGTTATTGATATTTCTTTGCACTATTTTTCTCACACTGTATATGTACATGGATAAAATAATTCCTAATTTCTTACATAACTGAGAATGTTTCACAGCGTCATTGAATTTATAATATTGTTTTAAAAAGTATTCAAAGACACTTGTTAAAACATGGTAAGGCAGATTTTATTCAGGCCATCACCATAGGTAGAGGAGCCCATTGGTTGAAAGAGTTTTTCAGTTCTTTGTCATTACTAATATTCTGTTTACTAGTCCCACAAATTATCGAGAGAGTGGTGTAGAAGTCTCCAACTACAATTTTTAATTTATGTATTTTTTGTTTACTTCTGCCACTCTTTGCTTCATGTTTTCATGCTCTGGTTTAATCATGTACATGTTTGGATTATATATGTTTATGATTATCCTTTTCATCATTATGCATTGTCCCTCTTTATCACTGGTAATTTTTATTACTCCAATGTCTACTTTTTCTGATATTAATGTAATCACTCCAGCTTTTTTCATGGGTGTTTGTATATTTTATTCCTTTTTTTACTCTCAAACTACTGATGTCATTATATATGATTACTTGTAGACAACAGAGTTATTTTTAAGTTCATGATTAAAATCGTTTAATTATTATGCTTATGTTATTAATATTTAATGTGGCTATTGGTATGTTTGTGTATAGGTCTACTATATTCTAATTTGTTTTTGGTTTTGTTTTATTTTTGTTCCCGTTTCTTTTTCCTGCATTCTATTGGGTTATTTGTGCATGTTTTAGTATTCCACTTTAATATGTCTGCCAGCTTCTTGATACATTCTCTTTGTACAGTTTTATTTTATTTTATTTTAGTGGATTCTCTACATATTACAATATATCTACTTGTATTGGTTTGCTAGAACTGCCATAACAAAATACCACACACTGGGTAGCTTAAACAATACAAATTTATTATTTCAGTCTAGAGGCTGGAAGCCTGAGACCAAGGTGCTAGCAGGCTTGGCTTCTCCTGAGGCCTCTCTTCCAGGCTTTCACATGGCCACCTCCTTACTGTCCTCATATGGTCCTTCCTCTGTGTGCACACATATCTGTGTCCTAATCTCTTCTTATAATGACATCAATCATATTGGATTCGAGCCCACTCATATGACATTATTTTACTTAAATGATCTCTTTAAAGAGCCCATTTCTAAATATAGTCATATGCTGAGGTACTGGATGAAAGATTTCAAAATATTAATTTGAAGGGTCACAATTCAGCTTATATTACTGCTCATATTTTAGGTGTTCTTGGAGTGAATGTCTTACCACTACAAGTAGAATATAGGAAACTTACAACCCAATTCTGTGTCCTGCCTTCTTACTGTTATAGTTCTCTATTAACATATAAATAGAGAAGCCCACCACAGTGTTAAAGTTTTACTTTCAACTTTCAAGCATATTTTAAAGAAATAAAGAACAAAAGAATAGTCTATTATATTTACCTAAGTATTTACTATTTCTGCTGCTCTTCCTTTATTCCTGATGATCCAAGTTTCCTTATGCTAGCATTTCTTTGCTATTTGAAGAAGTTGTTTTAGCATTTGTTTTAAAGAAGGTCTCCTGTCAACAAATTCTTTTTTATTTTTCTTCATTTAAGGATGTTTTTATTTCAGATGGGCACAGTGGCATACACCTGTAGTCCCAGTTACTCAGGAAGTTGAGGCTGGAGGATTGCTTGAGACCAGAAGTTAAAGTGTTAGTAAACTATGATCAAGCCTGTTAATAGCCACTGAACTCCAGCCTGGGCAACAGAAACATAGCAAGACCATGTCTCAAAAAAGAAGAAAAAAAAAAAGAAGAAGAAGAAGAAGACAGGCGCGGTGGCTCTCTCCTGTAATCCCAGCACTTTGGGAGCCTGAGGCGGGTGGATCATGAGGCCATAGAGTCCATCTGGCCAACATGGTGAAACCACATCTCTACTAAAAATACAAAAAAATTAGCTGGGTGTGGTGGTGCGCACTTGTAGTCCCAGCTACTCTGGAGGCTGAGGCTAGAGAATTGCTTGAACCTGAGAGGCGGAGGTTGCAGTGAGCCAAGATCGTGCCACTGCACTCCAGCCTGGTGACAGAGTGAGATTCTGTCAAAAAAAAAAAAAGAGAGAGAGAGAGAGAAGAAAGGAAGAAAGAAAGAAAGAGAAAGAAAGAAAGAGAGAAAGAGAGAGAGAAAGAAAGAAAGGAAGAGAGAGAGAAAGAAAGAAAGAAAGAAAGAAAGAAAGAAAGAAAGAAAGAAAGAAAGAAAGAAAGAAAGGAAGAAAGAAAGAAAGAAAGAAAGAAAGAAAAGAAAGAAAGAAAGAAAAATGTATCATTATAACTTGGCTGCTTTTATGTCCTTTTATTCCCAATATAATAAGCTTGAACATGGAGTTATTTGGATTTATACTTTTTGGGCTTCACTAAGCTTCTTGCATCTTTGTAGGTTTAAGTCTTTCAGTAAATTTGGGTAGTTTTGAATCATATTTCTGTGAATATTTTTCAGCACTGTACTCTTGCTCTTCTCCTTCTGAGACTTCTAATGACCCAATAATTGAACCTTTGAATTGTCCCACAGTCCCTGGGGCTGTGTTAATTTTTTGCAATCTATTTTCTAACATATTCAGAATAATGTTTGTTGATTTATCTTCAAGTTCATTGACTGAGTCCTTTGTCATAACCATTCTGCTATTAAGCCCAACTTGAGTATTTTTTATTTGTCATTTTATCTTTCAATTCCAAAATTTTCATTTGGTTCTTCTTTGTGTCTTTTATTTCTTTGCTGAGAATGTTTATCTTTCCATCCACTTTAAGAGGATTTGCTTTCAGTTGCCTTAACGTTTTTATCAGAGTTACTTTAAAGTATTTATCAGATAATTCTAATATCTGTGTCATGTTGGTGTTGGCATCTGTTGATTGCCTTTTCAACTGTAAGTTGATATTTTCCTCTTTCTTTATATGTTGAATAATGTTGAATTGTTTCCTGAACATTTTGAATTTTATGTTATGAGACTCTGGATTTTGATTAAATCCACTGGAGAATGTTGGTATTTTGTTTTAGGAGTCAATTGTCCTGGTTAGGCTCAGACCACAGCTTCAGCCTGTCTTCTCTGTATGGGCTGTGATTGTGAGTCTAAGGTCAGTTCAATTTTCAGAGCATTTGCAGTCTTATTAGGATCAGTCCTTCATGTGGATCACTCAGAACCAATATGGAATCTGCTTTACATATTAATTCACCTCTCAAAGTCTTTGTAACGGTGTTTAACACTCAAACAGATCTATGCATGTAAAGGTCAAGAGTGAACCCAGAAATTCATATGCTAGTTTAAGGGGTCACTTTTCTCAAGTCTTGCTATGTTACCAGTATTTTCCACTTCCCTGTGGTTTCTCTTTTTTGTTCTTGCAATTGTAAATCTGAGGCTGTACTTACTTTATTCTGCTGGGCATTTCCTGTAATTATGCTTACATCCAGGGCTAAGTAGTGTGAATACACAGGAAAAAACTCACCTCTAGTTCAGCGTTACTTTAAATTCTGGCTTTCTTTGTAAATTTTCCTACTATTTACTTTGAGTCCTCATGTAGCTGCTCTAAGCATTCTTTCCAGGTTTTATTGCTGTTTTTCAGCATCAATATAACTTGAATTTAATTGGTTTTGAATTTAGTTGAATTAAATTAAGAGAACTTGGTCTATAGATTACTGATTTTTCAAAAAATCATTGAAGTTTGCTGTAAAACTAGAATGTAACCAATTTTTGTGGAAGGTCCAAGTGAGATTCTGAAGAATTTATCTTCTCTAATATTTGCTTGTATTCATCTGCATATTTTCTAGAAATCAAAATTTTTATTTGTGTGATTCAAATACTCTGCAAGTCACTTAATCTAGTAAATATTAAAGAACATTATCAACCCATGATTCAATTTTCAAATTCTTCTTGAATTTCAGCAGAGAGATTATTTTTTCTTGATACAGCAATTGAACCATTTAAAACTATACTGAATATTTTTACCCCAATATAACTTTTTATATTAACTTGTATTTTATGTGTTTTACTCCAAAACTTTTGGTTAGAATTTCCTTGGTATATTGTTTTTTTATACCAATACTTTCACTGCAATAATGGAAACCACTATATTGACAGAGTCTTAGTAGTACTGCAAAGAGAGGGCAGAGTTTTGATACTGTTTTGGGAAACTGGTTTAAGGTGCTATTTCAAGTGCCGACTTAATTAAGATTAGACAAAATATGTGATATAATAGTTGGAACTGGTGCATACAGCAATGTGAGGATTGTGAAGTGAGCATTTATGAGTAAATACCATTTAATAAGCCAATTATAGCAATTGATTTTTTTAAGACTAGAGGAGAGGCTATCCTGTCAAGGGATACTTGCATAGTTTATTCTTTAGATAAATGAACTTTTGTGAAGTTCCTCAGATGAACCCAAAGTTGTTTTTAACTTCATCTTACTGGGCAAAAATGTCCTGGCTTTAGTTAAGTCATGTTAATGCAGAATGTAGAATAGTAAAATTATGTTTTTTAAGTGTTCCTAGATGGTTTCAATTCTCATGTGTATCATGTATTAGGGACACCTTTTAGCTCTATCATACGTCTATTTTTTTCTCTGAATTGAGAGTGCATCCTTTTAGGTTTATTCTCATCACTGTTATATTTGTATTTGAGTTCATTTTATTTTTGCTTTTTGTAGATTTATTATGTTTTGCCATTTTACTTTTTTTTTGTATATTTTGTGTATTTTCTCCCTTTTTTTCTACCAAGTCCTTGGTTTTTCTTAAGGGAAGTGTTATTACCACCTCTTTTCGCATTTTAAGTTTTCTTAGAGCCTTTAGTCTAAATTTAAAGATCAGCCCTGCTCCATATTTGCAACAAATCTACCTTTACTTTTCCCTCAGTTTCATTTCATCACCAGCTAGAATATGGACAATGTGACTCCTTAAAATGAAAGTGGGTGGGCACGGTGGCTCACGCTTGTAATCCCAAAACTTTGGGAAGCTGAGGCAGGCAGATCCCTTGAGCCCAGGAGTTCGAGACCTGCCTAGGCAACGTGGGGAAAACACGTCTCTACAAAAATATATATACAAAAATTAGCCGGGTATGGTGACACACACCTGTAGTCCCAGCTACTCTGGAGACTGAGGTGGGAGGATCACTTGAGCCTGGGAGGTGAAGGCTGCACTGAGCCAAGATTGGTATAATTGCACTCCAGCCTAGGTGACAAAGTGAGACAAGAAAGAAAGAAAGAAAGAAAGAAAGAAAGAAAGAAAGAAAGAAAGAAAGAAAGAAAGAAAGAAAGAAAGAAAGAGAGAAAGAAAGAGAGAAAGAAAAAAAGAAAGAAAAAGAAAGGAAGGAAGGAAGGAAGGAAGGAAGGGAAAGTGATGTCTAATACTGTGTGTTAATTCCTGATTCTTTTTAATTTATGTTATAATTTGAGCCTAAAAAATCTCATTTTGTTGACTGTTAAATCTTATGTTGCAGTTCTTTAGTCTGGACTTGAAAACTGATTTGTTTGGTTATTAAAATACCCAAAGGAAGACTCAAAATGAACATCTCTGCATGAAACAAAGTTACAATAGAGCTGTACAGGTTTGATTCGCAAACTTAAGCATCCATATTTAAGGAGATCATGCTATTATTTTCATCTCTGAAAACGGCAAATCTCCAGGGTTTGAGTTTTTTCTGCATATTTGATACTATGTGAGCATTAAATATGCCTCTTACTTGAGAGATTCCAATCTTCTTCCAATATTAGCAAATTCACATGTTAAATTTGGTTTTTAAGTATTAACTATCCTTGAATATCCTGGTTTAGCACTAATAAAAAAGATTATTACCTACATCATTCACTTTATGAATTATATCTAACCATGTATTGACACTTCAGTAGCTATTATAATTTTCATCCCCATACTGAGAAACACATAAAAGAGAGGTGTAAGTCATAACGGCAAAATTTCTTAAATCCTTTTTATTCTTTTCTTCTACTTTTTCACATCTCGCAGTTTTGATCATTTTTTGCCAAAACTGTAAAACATTCTCTCACTTTAACCACTGGCTTGGTCACCCTTTCTTCCTTGGCTCTCAAGTATTTGTTTCTTGTTTGCCTTCTTTCTCTTCAGTCAAGCCCTTTTTTGCTCTTTCTTCATATAGTATAATAAAATAATAGAACCTAGGAATAGACACAATGCAATAGAGCTTGGAGAGGACAAAATTGGGCTGGCTATTTCAGGCCAGCAAAACTTTAACACTCCCGCAATAATATTTCTACCTCATTTTGTATCCCCTAGACCTGGTTAGGAACAGGGTTGATCACCTCTTAGTGTTGGCTTCCACTGAATCTCCTAAAGTCTCCTGTCAATGTTAGATTGTTCTCCAGTTGACTGATACAAGTCCCACCTTCATCCCAGTTCTTCCTTTTCCAATCATGGGGCTTAGGAGAAGTTCTCCTAGGATTCTGGCCACTTATTACCAATTAAATTACAATCATTCAGTAGCTAAGCTGGTCTCATCTTTCCTATACTTGCAGGACTCTCTAAACATATAAGATTTATTCACTGTGCCCTTCCTTATTTTTACAGGCAATGCTAACTATGTTTTACTACTTTAATTTTTCCTATGTACGTTTAGAAGAGTAAAGAGTTGAATGTCTAGATTCAATCTCTATGTTTGAAAACCTACATGCAGTAACATTTTAAATCACTTACTAAATCACTGCGTATATATACAGCTATGTAAAAATTTGTGTTTATTTAGGTTATTATTGATTAACATTGCTTTGTCACTCAGTATAGCTCCAGCTTTCTAATCTCACAAACCTGCATTTGAATTGCAACTTTGCCAATAACACATGGGAAAGACAATACCTTCCTAATGGCATAAAAAATACATCTCTAACACTTAGCTCAGTAATTGTCACAAAGTTTGTGACCAGAAAACAAAAGCTAATTCTTGCCAAATGGATGAATTTGATAAGTTTTTATAAAAAAATTTACAGAAAAATCCATATCAACATTTAAGTTTCAAAAAGTAATTATCTGAGTGAACTAAGAGAAATTAACATATATGATGTAAATCATTTAAAAATGTAAATCATTCATACAGTGATAAGTATTTTTGTAAAGCAAATAATTATTTTTGTGATCCTAATTTGGTCAAGACACTTGGCAATATTGGACAAGTAGATTAAGGGTTTGTTTTCAAAAGTAAAATTAGGGCCTTAAATTTTACAAAGTGCTTATTATCTCATGAACTCCTGAAAAACAAAACAAAAAGGTCATTTAATATAAGAATTAAGTCTCAATCACTTGAAAACTCACAACACAGATAGGATTTTTAATTCCAAATCTAGTACTTTTTCCCTATGCTATTGTACCATATTTGTATTTTCCAAATGTGACTTATCATCAAACCACCTGAAACCCTTAAAACAAACTTTGTTTTTGTGCCATATCACAGACCTGCTGAATCAGAATCTATGATGCAAAGGTCTGGAAAAAGCACTTCACTCCCCAGGCAATTCTGATGATGACCACATTTTGAGAACCACTGGACTAAATGATCCTCAAAGCCACTTTATGTTTCTGATTTCTGGCAGTCTATTTGAGGAAAGAAATGTTCATTTCAATGTATCACACTGTTTAAACATAGTAAAATGTTATGGCAATTAAATAATCAAACTCCTTGCATTTTGAAAAAATTCACATGATAGCAGAAATAGAAGCAAAAGTCTCAATTTAGTTATGACTGATCATATATTTTGGTGCACTAATCAAAAAAACTGATGATTTTTGTTTTGCTTTTGAAGCTAATCTATATGTCTTTGAAAAGTTGGTTACAAATATGGCTAAACATTCAGTTGATGACCTGCTCTTTGAATATTTTTTCCTATAATGTGGAAGATAGGATGGATATATGTGTGACAATAAAGGTTGCATTATTTACAACTTAATATTGTTTTTGTTGAAATTTCCTGACTTGCTCACCATATTGAATATACATCATTTCCAAGTCTGTCAAAATCATATTAGGTTATTGGTAGAATTAATTGCATTAAAATTTTCAGCATGCTCAGTCTTAACTTCTTTATACTAGCTTATATCTCAAAACACAATGCATTTTAACTGTTGATATATGAGGCCAATAATACATGAAATTTAAATATACTGCTCCTACATCTCCACTAGCTAGCTATGTAAACTCTCTTCTAATTTAGGAAGTACCACACAATTCATTCACCCTTCCAAGCCGACAGAGAGCCTCAATATTTTCACAGGCTTTTCACAAAGATTTCTTGTTTCATTTATTATTTGGTAATAATCACTAAATAATGCTTATTTGATACTCCCTAAAAATACACACGGTTGAACAGATGAATTCAAAATAAGAATAAAAGTTATGCTTTAGAAGTCATATTTAACTACCACTGATAACATTACAGTTATCAAATATCAATCCTTTTAGTTCTCTTCCTGACATTTCACAAAATGATAAAGACAACAATTTTTGCTCTTTTGTTAATTAGAGTATGTGAGTTGGAATTATCACCATGAGACTGAAATGGTTGTCCTCCAGAGCTTGATTGCCAGACCCAGGAACTATGACTTCTTCATCAGTTGGAAATTCTTGCTCACTAAAATAAGGCTATAAACCAGTAAATAACCTCACCACTAGCTTCAAACGATAGCTTTCTCAACACAATAGCTTGTTCATCTGAGTTAAACAGCTTCCTTTCAGAACAAAGGCACAAAGCTGTACCCATATCAAACATTGATTCAATTCCCAAAAGTGTCTCAAAGAACCCTGACTTGGTGTGTTCACCAATCTATAAATATCATATCAAGGACTTTGCCCAATCCAGAGCAGACTCTTACATTGAATTAGCTTCCTTAAACCACCCCAATCCAGACCCTTAAAGCCTTCTGAGACATGGCTAAGATTTAGTCAAGGTGGTGTTCTCCCTTATTGTAGTAATAAACTAGGCTTTGCTAAATCAACAGTTGTGAGATTTTTTCTTTTTTCTTTTCGTGGTCTTTTGGAGAACCTGCAGTTGACAATCTTAGGGTTTGTTTGTTTTTTTATTTAAAACATTGTGAGTTTTATTCTCATTTAGTATAACTAATACTTTTACATAGACTAGATGAATTGTATCACATTACAGAAAAGAATATATTATACATACATTTTATTTATTTGGATGCTTAGACAATATATAAAACTATTTTGACTACTAACATTGTTCATTCGTTTGTAAAATTATGAAATAATCATTAATATTAATTACATTAATAAACCAAAGGAAGAATTTTTTGGCTATCTCAATAGATACACAAAAATCTGTAATAAATTTCAGAAATTAATAATCTACTTTTTAAAAAATTTATTATTTATTTATTTATTTATTTATTTTTTGAGACAGAGTCTCGCTCTGTCACCCAGGCTGGAGTGCAGAGGCACTATCTCGGCTCACTGTAAGCTCCACCTCCCGGATTCACGCCGTTCTCCTGCCTCAGCCTCCCGAGTAGCTGGGACTACAGGAGCCCACCAACAAACCCTGCTAATTTTTTTGTATTTTTAGTAGAGACAGGGTTTCACCGTGTTAGCCAGGATGGTCTTGATCTCCTAACCTCGTGATCCACCCGCCTTGGCCTCCCAAAGTGCTGGGATAACAGGCGTGAGCCACCGTGCCCGGCCAATCATCTACTTTTAAATAACCTTTATATTTGCCCACATAGAGATCAAAATAATAGTCTTGATTGAATGTCAAAAAAAAAAAAAAGTCAAAACCCAAATCTGTAAAAGAATTTTGGAGTTATTGAATTCTGAATAACCATGGTTTTCTTTTTGGTGATTCTCTGGACTTTTTAAATTTTCTAATTGTTTTAAAAGTTTATTTTTGTTGTCTTTAAAACCGAAGATACAGGATAATCTCTGTGCTATAAAAATATGATTATAAACATTCGAAATTGATTGAAGTGAGAGATTATAGTTGTTTATTTTTTTCTTTATGTATTTTGTATCTTATCACAGGTTTGCAATGAAAAATATGTAAACATGCTTAGAAAATTATAAATATTTAAAATATGCTTCAAAATATGTTATCAAATCTAAAACGATACCTTAATGAACAGTTGAGATGTTAAGAAATATGACAAGTTATTTTTTATATAATAAATAACAATATACTTATAACTTTTAATACAAGATACATTAATAGATGCAGGTGATTATTTCTCAATGTGGTCTTTTCTGTAACATTTTAATACAAATCTTTGCAATCAATAATAGAGGATTTGAAAATGGATATTCATACTAAAACATGAAACTAGTGATTTAGGCATAATGTTAATGGAATAATCTTTCATTACAAGGGTATTTTATTTGAAGTTGTTCATAATACATTACTTTGGACGTAGATATTAGTGTATTAGTAAGTGATTCTATTATGATAGGGCCAAGTCCCTGAAAAGCTCTGAATAAGTGGTTTCCATAATGATAAAATAGATGCAGAAAAAATGCTGTCATTATCATCTTTTTATATGCATTGAAAGTAGGAAGATTTATGTTGCATTTTCATTCATTTAGTTAACGCCATTTATTGAATAACTACTATGTGCGTTGTTCTAGGCATTTAAGAAACAATGATCACACGTCCAGTGAATCATGGAAATGTGACAGTGAAGGGAAAATGAATTCTTTTACAGTGCTTTCCATGTGCGACGCACCATTTTAAGCATTTTCCAAATATTAAGCCATTCAAGCCTCAAACGACTTACAAGATAGGTACTCATTTATATTTTAGAGAAAGAAACAGGCTAATTCACCAAGAGTTTAAGGGACTTTCTGAGGTAATGCTTCTAGCAAGCAAACAGAGCCAGGATTCAAACCCAGGTGTAGTGCTTCAAAGGCTGTGTTCTTAAAAGTTATGCCTGGTTGCCTCATTTTTTATAATAAATACAAGCTGAATGTCTTCTAAAGTTATTTTCCCAGTTAATCATTTTTAACCACAAATTATTTTAATACCCACTTTATTCTCTAAATTGCTATGCTACCATTTTTGTACCAAAAGAAAATAAGTGCAGAGATATATTTTTCCTTTGTCTCTTTTATAAAAGCTGAGAACTTTATTGTATAGTACCACTGAAATAACTTTTTCCCCCACTGCTTTTATTTGCAAAGAATTTACATTTAAAGAAAGACCTAGAGAATTGCGACTTCTTATCCACCACTGTGCATCCAACTTCTGTTGTTAACTAAAGCACACATTAAGGGTAGCAGAGAATTATCTTATGATTACTAACAGACATTAAAATGAATTTTGTCAATATTATAGGAGAGGTTTAATTGCTTTACTTGTTATTATAGTGGTATAAATTTCTGATTTAAAAGACCTAAGAATAATAATTAAGTATAATTTGGAAAGGATACATCAAAAAATATTTTTCTATGCAAACTTACATATTTATTAAAATATCTAAGGCTACTTCAGTTGTATGCCACAGTTCATTTACTGTGCACCTATAGCTTACAATATGCCTACAGGAATTATGAGAAGTTAGAATCCCAGAGAAAATCAGTTTCACCGTCATTCTCAATTCTTTGCTAGAAGGACTCAACAAACAAAATAAATTTGCTGGTATTGCATGTAAAGTGGAAGTTGTGATTTCTTGGAAGAAGATGATGGAAGTACTTTGTTGTCTGTACTTTATGGAGAGTATCTAAAGCAATGACTGCAGTTTTTGGAGCTATCATACAGGTTTGGCTAGTGGATGGTTTTGCAACCTGAAGAGCACGGTGAGGAAGGGTGTATTTCCCAACATGCTCAATCTATCCTTTGGGAATATGTATGATTTTCCTAGCCCTGGAGAAGAACTGTGGAGTTGCAAAACATTACTGGGTTGAACCAAATTTTGTCCTGCAGTTAGGGAGGTCCTCTCCCATTTTTATCTGGCCTCTTACTTGTCTCAGAAAAGGTTTTAGGTTGTCAATTCATGCATTTCATGTCACAGGGAGTGGATCCCCATCTTTTTATCATTATATGTTGGTCTTTTAAACAAAGATTGCTATTTTTTTCCATTGGTTGTAGAATTACTATTAAAAAAGAGACCCCAGCAATCAGGCCTGAACACTTGTTGATGAACCCACATATGTATACACCCACGAATAGGTTACAAAATTATTTATTTAAGGAGATCTAACAACTTGAAGGAAGAAATCCAATATAAGAAATCAAATCACATACTGACCACTCTGGAAAACTGAAGAGATGCTTAAGGAGCCATCAATAAAATAAAAATTGTAGCAGAAGACAGTATGTAACCGGAAATAATTTTTAAATCTTATGGTTTAAAATTGAAAGAAAACAGCTGCTGCTAGGAACTTGTCTGAGTCGAGAAATATCTGAGATTACAGAGGAAAAGTACAAAGAAATGAATAATTGAAAAAGAAAGACAGGAAAGATAATTATAAGAGTTTATAGTTTTCTTTAATCTCAGTTATGATATTGTTATTTGGTACTTCAAATTAAGGGCCAAATCCAAAGTGGCAAAATTAAAGACACTGTGTAGAAACATAATGATGCTTGTATTAAAATTCTTTTAACTTTTCATGCAAAGCTCATGAATTGAAAGTTATGGAAAAGCATACAATTGCAGTGCCGAGTTGCAAGTGCTACTATTGACATATGAAGATTTTTCTGAGATAGCAGAGTTTGGAGGTGGAAATATATTATATTGCTGTAAAGGATTAGTTTTGATGGAGCAAAACTAAATCCTGAATGGGAAAAATGACATAGCCAAGTAAAGTAGTGACAGCATTTACCCAGAGAAAAGAGCTTACAAACAGGCAAGATTTAAAGAGAAAAGATGATGTGGGAAATTAAAAGGTGACTCTGTTATTGGAGCAAATAGTGAGAAAAGAAGGTCAAGAGATGAGTTTAGACAACTAAGGAAAGTCCAAATATTGAGATTTTTTTAAGTAATATTTTAGTACAATCAACTTGCTTTTAAGATAGAGATTCCTTTGTAGAAGAAACACAAGCCCATTGATGAAAGAAGAGATAGTGTGATTGCTTAAACAAAATAGTGGAAATGAAGCATGGTAGATTGTCTTCCAAATGGTGCCCCCAAATTCTTTCTTTCTTTTTACACACATATGTCTCCTCCCATCAATGGTGGTGTCGCTTTCCCCTCCTTTAATCTAAGGTTGCATTGTGACTTTTTTTTAATCAACAAAATGTGATATAAGTGACACTATCTCAGTTTAGTTCTAGGCCTTAAGCGAACTGACAGCTCCTTTTGTGTTCTTGGAATCCTGAGCCACCACGTAAAGTGGTCCTGCTACCCTGCTGGAGAGATGATGTGGAGAGAGATGTCCAGCCTGCTCCCAGCCTTTCTAGTTACCCCATCTGAGGTGCCAGATATGTGAGTGGACTATGTCATACACTAAACCTCAGAAGAGCTCACAATTGAATGCATCTATATGAAAGACCCCAACTAATACCACTATGTGAAAGACCCCAGCTAATACCACATGAAGCAGGATGAGTTGTATCTGAGGAGTCCTGCCAGGCTGCAGAATTGTGAGCAAATATATGGTGATTGCTCTGAGCCACTGATTTCAGTGTGGTTTGTTTCATGGCAATTGATAATTGAAACACAAACTAAATATATTCAAGAAATGTTAGGAAAGTAGAACTGAAATGCCTTGGAACCCCATTTATGAAGGGCGAGAGGAAGAGAGAAATGTCTCAAAAAGAGTTTACCGGGTTCTGGTATGGGAATCTCAGCAGAATGATAGTCCCAGTGACTACAACGTGGAAAAGCAAGTGGAAAAGGTTTGATTGTGGAGTGGGAAGATGTGGAAAGTTTGGAAGTATTACTTGGAGCTCAGCAGAATGTTTAAGAACTAGGTATACATTTGAGAATCATCACCACAGTGGTGCTGGCTGAAGTGACACTTTGGAAGAAAGCAATCTGATATATATATGACAATCACCTGGCAATAAAAATCTCCTCCTTCTGTCCTCTCAGAAGTTCTGACAAGCAAATTGTTCTCAATTTTGGTAGTACGTTAAATTCACCTGGGGTGACTAAAAATAATCCTAGCGTCTAAGCTGAACCTCAGGCCAAATATACAAAAGTCTTTCGGTGTGGGACCCAAGTACAAGTATTTTTTAAAGCTTCCCAGTTGATTAAAATGTGCAGCCAAGTTTGAGAATTACTGTTACTCAGTGGAAGAGGGTCCAGGTACATAGTATGAAATTTCTTCCTAGATGATTTTGATATGCCATTGTCTTTGTTGAAAATCCTGAATGTGAATATCTAACTAGAAGCTCCATGATTTCAAATTATTATAGATATTCAACATCAATGTGATTTTTTTTTAAAAAATCTAAATATAGCATGCTCTCAGAAAATACTGTTTAAGCCTAAAGCTGTATCTTCTTTCTACTATATATTTTTAAATTACTTTTGAAAAATAAATTTTGTTTTAGTTGTCTATCTTATTTTCAATTTTATGACTGGTTAATTAAATTGAAAAGGAAATAAAAATTTCAGAAGCACACTTGATCCAAATTCAAATATCAAAACAAAACAATAATTTCACTGTATTAGTCTGTCTGCACACTGCTATAAAGATACTACCTGAGACTGGGTAATTTATAAACAAAAGAGGTTTAATTGACTCACAGTTATGCATGGCTGGGGAGGCCATGGGAAACTTACAACCATGGCAGAAGGCGAAGGGGAAGCAGGCACCTTTTTCACATGGTGGCAGGAGAGATAGTGTGAAGGGGTACTGTCCAACACTTTTAAGCCATCATGAGAACTCACTCCCTATCATGAGAACAGCATGAGGGAAACTGCCCCCATGATCCAATTACCTCCCACCAGGTCCCTCCCTCAACACATGGGGATTCCAATTCAAGATGAGATTGGATGGGGACACAGAGCCAAACCATATCATTCACTTACCCTCTCAATAGTGATATTTAAAATGAATTTTAACCTGCAAAACAATAAGCACCATCCAGAATATGCTCCAACTTAACAACAATAACAATGACAGTTACAAGTGTGTTCTGTTCAAGTATACACCTTATATATATATAAAATATATATATGCGTGTGCATATGTATGTGTGTGTGTATATATATGTGTATATATATGTGTGTGTGTATATATATATATGTATATATATACACACACACATACATATAGCCTTTGCCAAGATGGTGTATTTGACTTGCCAGAATTAAACATAACTCCCTTTTCTGGGCAATGCTTTCTTGCATTCCTATTAACTTAATGAAGAAAGTAGTCTCAGACACCTATATATAGAAAAATGTCAAAGGATTTTTACTGTATCATTATTTTCTGTCAATGTTCATGTATTATCTGCATTCTTTCCAGCTCTCTGCTGAGCATCACTGTGAATGTATGAGAATTCTTGAGTCCTTCAACTCTTATCACACAGTTGGACCTAGAAGGGTCGACCACAATTGACAGGACAGTTCTGATGACCTAAGAGACAGGTTCACAGGATGAACTGTAGTGAGCCTTGTATCATATTGTCAGGGCCCAGAAAATTATACCCCAAAGGACTTTGAACTGAGGGAGATTGGGAAGGCCGTAGAAGCAAAAAGGTCACTGTAACCTTCCACACCTTTCTGTTGTACAGCTGGCTATAAAGACATTCTTTGACCCACTTTGCCTGAAAGTAGGTCATGAGACCCTCATTCAGTGGAGTCTTACCTTATACCTGAGGTGAAGGAACGCAACAGAGGCCTGAGAATATTTATTCTCTCCTACCATTACCTCATGACTTATCCTTTGATGGCCAATAATTGTTCATTCAAACTGGTATTTCAAAGACATATAATTCTCATTTATTCAGCATTAGCCTTTGACCTTATTGTTTCACATATTGTTTATTAACAGCCTCACGTTTTCGGAGGACTCTATTTATATGTATATTAGACATTCTTACAGTATACTTTAGGTATCTTAGCCACTCTTCTCTATTATTCATCTTTTTGTCTCGTAATGCTTCATTTTAGATATTTCCTTCTGACCTATTATCCCATTTGATCCCTTGCACTTCATCTGTTTCTAATCTTCTGGTGTACCCCTAGCTTCAATCATATATATATATATATATATATATATATATATATATATATATATGTATGTATGTATATAGTTGGGTTTTTTTTTTTTTTTGAGACAGTCTTGCTCTGTCACCCAGGCTGGAGTGCAGTGGTGCAATCTTGGCTCACCGCAATGTCCGCCTCCCGGTTTCAAGTGATTCTCATGCCTCAGCCTCCCAAGTAGCTGGGATTACAGGCACGTGCCACCACGCCCAGCTAATTTTTGTATTTTTAGTAGAGATGGGGTTTCACCATGTTGTCCAGGCTGGTCTTGAACTCCTTACCTAAAGTGATCTGCCCATCTCGGCCTCCCAAAGTGCTGGGATTACAGTACTGAGCCACTGTGCCCAACCAAATTTAATATATTTTTAAAGCCTAGGATCTAACATTGCCTTTGTTTCTAATTCTGTGCTCCAATTCTCATATTCTTATTTATTATTCTTTTTATCTCTTTGGATGTTGTTTAGATAATTATTTACAATTTATGTCTAACAACACTAGTATCCACCCTTCTGGATTTATTTTAATTGTATATTTTTATTCATCTTATTTTCTGTTTTTCATTCATATTATCTTTATTCCTTGTGCTCCACATCATTTTTTATTGTGTGGTAGACATTGCATTTACATTATTTATATAAATAATTTAAAGCCTAAGATTATGTCAATTTTTTCTAGGTAGGAGTTATATCTGCCTTTACTAAGTATCTTTTTTTTCTGAATAACCTAGTCTAACATTACTGAAAACAGAAAAAAATTACCTATTTAAAAAATTCTCTAGGAAATATAAAATTTTTACAACTTTTCTGTACTCAAAGCACTTTGTTAGGTCTAAATAGCTTAATGGTTAAGTGATAAGTCTACCCTGCCATCTAAAGACTTATAGCCACAGCAATAAAAGTTGCAAACAACTAGCAATAATATATTCTGTAAAGTGTAAGATAAAGTGTAATAAAAATATATATATAAATAAATAAATTTCTCAGGCAAGAAAAGATATAATTATAGATACACAAATTAGTTTATTTTTTAAGGAGAACAGAGATATCTAGATTTAGAAGAAACAGAACAATTGTAACAGATATGGAATATGAGAAATAACATTCAGAAGTAATAGGCTGGTGTATTTAAGGTGCAGCCAATAAGAAGCTCACATTGACTATTTCTCCCACATTTTGTGCAGGGTTTCATCTGGGCCATTACCCAATAGCTGCTATTTTAACTTCTCTGATTCCGTACTTGTCCTATCTACCACAGATGTTTCAAAGTGGTTTTTCTAAAATGCAGTTCTGATGCACTGTTTTATAAAGACAGTTCAATAAAAACTCATACAATTGAAGTCCATATCATGGTGTATAAGGCTGTTTATAATTCAACCATTGGTTTATTTTCCAGGTTCATTTTGAGTCACCTTTTTCTCAATTTATGCACCAGAAGTATTCAAAACTTTTTTTTTTTTTTTGAGACGGAGTCTGGCTCTGTTGCCCAGGCTGGAGTGCAGTGGCGCACTGCAAGCTCCACCTCCCAAGTTCACGCCATTCTCCCGCCTCAGCCTCCCAAGTAGCTGGGACTAAAGGCACCCACCACCACACCTGGCAAATTTTTTGTATTTTTAGTAGAGACGGAGTTTCACCATTCACAGGACGGTCTCGATCTCCTGACCTTGTGATCTGCCTGCCTCGGCCTCCCAAAGTGCAGGGATTACAGGCACGAGCCACTGCACCTGGCCTCAAAACTTTTTTATGTACTCCTTTGAATATTGTTTACTTCACTACTACCATAATCTTATATATATGAAAACTACTATTTTTCCTTTTTGGTTACCTCAAGAGCCATTATCTCAAGGAAACTATTTAGGTTATCTATTGATGTATTTTTAAACCTCCCCAAAACCCATGGGCTCAAATTTACAACTTCTGTATTTTCTCACAATTCTGTCATCAGGAATGGCTCAGCTGGGTATTCTTGTTCTCCAGCTTTCTTGTACAGGCTGGGTTCAACTGGCAGGTCTTCTAGGAAGGAGTTCCACTCAGCTGCAACATGGATGGCTGGACCTCTCTGCTCTAGTTAACCTTCGGAACTCTTCCACTCCACCTAGTCTTTCTACATAGGCTCCTCAGTAGTGTAGCCAGACTTCTTACATGGTGTTTTGGGGCTCCTGAGAACAAAATGGTAGAGGCTGCAGAGCATCTTAATGCCTGGGCATGAAACTTGCACATTGTCCTTTCCACCAAAGTATTTTGTTTAAATTGAATAATGGGGCCAGCTCAAATTAAAGGGGATGGAACTCTGTAACTGTGTGAATCCCTTGAATAATGATCACCATTATTCAAGGGATTCACACTTATTATTAGAAGCTTACATGATAATCCATTAGGTCACCAAGGTTGGTGTTGCCCTTCAAAATGCAATAAAAACTGGAGAACTCTTCTAGATTAAAAAGACTAAATATACATGACCACTAAATGTAGTACAGAATACTGGATCGGTTACTAGGCAGGAAACGATTAACTCAGCAGGCCTAGGTTGCTCAAACTCTGCACATTTCAAAGAAAGACCTGTCTTCAGATTACCTCTTGATTGTCTGCTAAGGAATCACCTCTGAGTCCTTGTAATACTCTGCTTGATAAGAGAGTTTTCTGTATACTGGAGACCTGGAGGCATACTGTATCAGTTTGACCTGATGAGTGCATCCTAGTAATGTGATTTAAGATAAATATCTCTTTTTCCTGGTGTTGAGGGTGGAGACTGGAGTCTGAGTAGCTGAAGTCAGTTAGGCAAGTGGTTAATGCCTATGTGACTGACCCCCAATAAAAACCTTGGATACCAAAGCTTGGGTGAGCTTTCTTAGAAGGCAAAACTTTGCATCATTGGTGGGAAAATTAAGTTCACTCCCATATGACTCCAATGGGAAGAGCTATCTCAACACTTATATCTGATTTCTCCTAGAGTTCATTCTGTGCACCTTTTCCCTTTTCTGATTTTTTTGTATTATACTTTAAGTTTTAGGGTACATGTGCACAATGTGCAGGTTTGTTACATATGTATACATGTGCCATGTTGGTGTGCTGCACCCATTAACTCATCATTTAACATTAGATATATCTCCTAATGCTATCCCTCCCCCATCCCCCCACCCCACAACAGGCCCCAGTGTGTGATGTTCCCCTTCCTATGTCCATGTGTTCTCATTGTTCAATTCCCACCTATGAGTGAGAACATGTGGTGTTTGGTTTTTTGTCCTTGCGATAGTTTGCTGAGAATGATGGTTTCCAGCTTCATCTATGTCCCTACAAAGGACATGAACTCATCATTTTTTATGGCTGCATGGTATTCTATGGTGTATATGTGCCACATTTTCTTAATCCAGTCTATCGTTGTTGGACATTTGGGTTGGTTCCAAGTCTTTGGTATTGTGAATAGTGCCACAATAAACATACGTGTGCATGTGTCTTTATAGCAGCATGTTTTATAATCCTTTGGGTATATACCCAGTAATGGGATGCCTGGGTCAAATGGTATTTCTAGTTCTAGATCCATAAGGAATTGCCACACTGACTTCCACAATGGTTGAACTAGTTTACAGTCCCACCAACAGTGTAAAAGTGTTCCTATTTCTCCACATCCTCTCCAGCACCTGACTTTTTAATGATTGCCATCCTAACTGGTGTGAGATGGTATCTCATTGTGGTTTTGATTTGCATTTCTCTGATGGCTGTAATAAACTATAATCATAATAGCTGTCCCGTATTCTGTGAGTACTTCTAGAACCAAGCCTAAGGGTGCCTTTGGGGACCCCTAACACAGTTCTTAAACTGAAAAAAATTGTTGTAGGCTTCATGTGGTGGTTCACACCTATAATATCAGCATTTTGGAAGGTTGAGGAAAGAGGATCACTTGACGCTAGGAGTTCAAGACCAGCTGGGCAGCAAAGTGAGACCCCCATATCAACAAAAAGTAAAAAATAAAAATTAGTCAGGTGCAGTAGTCTATGCCTGCAGTCCCAGCTACTTGAGAGGCTAAGGTGAGAGGATCACTTGATCTGAAGAGTTTGAAGCTGCAGTGAGCCATGATCATACCACTGTACCCCAGCCTGGACAACAGAGCAAGACCCCATGTCTTAAAAGAGAGAAAAAAATTGTTATCAAAAACATTATTAGAAAAAATTATTAACACATTAGGAAAAAATGTGTTAATATTATTAGAAAAATATTAACACAGAAATATAGATGCAAATTAGATTTTAAAAAATCATATTCAGGCCAGGGGCAGTGGCTCACGCCTGTAATCCCAGCACTTTGGGAGGCTGAGGCGGGCGGATCACGAGGTCAGGCAATCGAGATCATCCTGGCTAACACGGTGAAACCCCATCTCTACTAAAAATACAAAATATTGGCTACGCCTGGTGGTGGGCACCTGTAGTCCCAGCTACTCGGGAGGCTGAGGCAGGAGAATGGGGTGAATCCAGGAGGCAGAGCTTACAGTGAGCTGACATCAAGCCAACGCACTCCAGCCTGGGAGACAGAGTGAGACTGCATCTCAAAAAATAACAATAATAAAATAAAAATAAATAAATAATCATATTCAGATTAAAATTATTGAATTTGATAACCAGGCTATAATTGTGCAAGAGATTATTCTTGTCCTTGGGAAATACTCAAGTATTAGGAGGCAAAGGGGCATGATGACTTCAACATACTATCAATGGTTTAAAATAAACTCTACAGACATAGAGAAAAAAATAAAGTAAATGTGTCAAAATGTTAGTAATTAGTGCACTGGACTAAAATATATAGGAGTTCTTTGTATTATTTTTGCAAATCTTTTGTAAGTTTAAAATTATATCAAAATACAAAATTAAAATGGAATCCTCTACAAAGGGTTATGTGTGTGTGCATGTGTGTGTATATGTTTAACCTTCATTCATATATCAATGTGATTTTACTATCTGAGCTTTTAAAATATTTGCCAAAGTACTAAATTTGATAAGTAAGTAGAAGGTGGAGAAATAGTTCAACGTATAACAGACAGAGTCGAGTTACTGAGCAGCTGCATTAAGGTGGGAATTGTCACTAAAAGGACAAACGGAAAGATTCTGAATAAAGGTGTCACTGATAAGAATGAATACTCAGTCTCCAATGGGAGCAGAGGCAAAGCTAAATTGGCAGACACTAGGATGGAAGCAAAGATCTGCAGACTAAGCTGGTAGAAGTCAATAGTGACAATCCCATTTTCCAGTGATGAAGATAGGCAGATAGGTGGTGTCAGGATGTCTAGCATGGGGTAAAGGACAGGATTCCAGAGAGGTGACAAAATGTAGCTATAATGAATCAGTAACAAGTCCATTTCTAGGTCTCCAGACTGATATGTTGTATCATATAAACATGGAAGAAATTAGCAGGCATCCAAAGGTGACAAAAGCTGGGGGGAAAAAAAGAAAGAGAGAGAGAGAGAGTCCAGACCCCAGAAGTATTGGTGAGAACAGCAGAAGAGAATTATGCCTCCGATGCCAAGTAATGGGATAGAGGGAACGGAACCTAGTCAACTCAGTAATTAATTTACTGAGGTACAGAAACTCAGGAAGATTAACAAAATAAAATGCAAAAAAATGAACCCTTGGCCTAGACCAGGGGTGTCCAATCCTTTGGCTTCCCTGGGTCACATTGGAAGAAGAATTGTTTGGCGCCACACTAAAATACGTTAATGATAGCTGATGAGAGAAAAGCAAATCACAAAAAAGCTCATAGTGTTTTAAGAAAGTTTACAAATTTGTGTTGGGCCTCATTCAGAGCCGTCCTGGGCCGCATGCAGCCCACAGACCATGTGATGGACAAGCCTGTCCTAAACCTTTTCAAAGAGAGGTTTCCAGCTGCTGAGAAGAGACAGAGTTTGCAGATTAGAATTAAGTGATCCCAGCTGGGAAATTTGGAGGGTTTCAGGAGAAGAGCACCAGGCAGTCATTAAATAACTTTTCTCCCCAAATTTCCTAGGGCTGCCAAATAAAAGAGATGCTAAAGAGGAGTATGGAAGAAAAATGGATTTGGGACTTATGTAGATCCGCATTTAAAACTTGTCTTTACCACTTACTACTGCCTATGTGACCTTCATCAGACCTCACAATAATACCTACTTCAAAGACTATTATTAGAATTAAAATAAGTTAAATAAATGTGTAAAGCCCTTACTTCAATATTTGGCACAAAGATCCCACTTTGATAGATTTAAGTATTATGGATGGAATGTAAGATTGCATAATGTTCCCTCTTTCTTTGTTAACAACTGAGGGACAGGAGAGGCAGGCATATTGATTCCTAACTTCATTGGTGCAAATAAAAAGTATTTAAGAAAAAGTCTTCTTACGCTGTTCAAAACACTGTACAGTGGTAACCAGCTTCCAAAGTTTATTTTCCCAGTGAAAGACTGATACACACATAATATTTGCTTTCAGGTCTACCAGGTGGGTAGATAGATAGATAGTAAAAATTGGCTGGTGTCTCAACTGTTGTGGGGAGACTGAAATTTAGATGGGGTCTTGCATTCTGCAGATTTGAGACCTATAGACTGCTGTGAGGAAAACATTAAGCCATGTGGTAATAAAACTAGATTGGAGGCTCCAGTTGTAAATGCCAAAAAAAAAAAAAAAATGCCATTCATATTTACACTGGGCCTAGGATCTTTCCTAGCTGGAAATTTGATAACAATATAAATTATATCTAATTTAAATATGCAGACTGCAGCCTAAAAGTGAGACTAAATAATCGCAAAATTAATATAATCAGTACTACATCACCATGTCAACAAGATTTTATAAAACAAAACTTAGTACATTTCTTCATTCAGATGTTCATCCTCAACTCTATTTCATAATTATTTATTTGTAATCATAAGATGAACAGTAATCTATTGTAGTTGAAATAAGTTTTTGTTGATAACATTTTTGTATTTAATTTTTGCAGCAACTATTTAGGGTTGTGAAGAACATGTGATATTCCCATTGTATGGATAACAAATCTGAAGTTCAGAGAGTTCCTGTGACCTGGACAAAGTCACACAACTACACAGCTGATAAGCAAATACCTAGAAATGGCATCTTCTCACTCCAAAATAAGCATGGTTTCTAATTTATTATTCTGTATATTGTGTGTGTGTGTATGTGTAGGTATATGTGTGTGTGTATTTTCTTGTAGAAGAAAAACATTCTTATCTATAAAAAGTTAGACTAAGATCCTTTAAAAGGCATCTGAGGTTAAAAAAATGGTTTTCATTTAAACAATATTAAATTCAGTAAGAAGGCACATTGATCTTCTAAATTTATGCCTTGAAAAACAGTGTCAGCATATAAAAGAATTAACTATTGTAAACATAAGAAAAATTTTACAAATTATAATAATATAAGAATTTAGATAGAACAATTAGAACAAGAATATGAAGAACTGGAAGAAAATTGCATGCTTCACTAAATGCATTTATTAGAATAAACTGAAAAATTGAAAACAAAGGCATAGAGCATTCAATTCAAGGAGCTGAATTTTAAAAAATAAGTGAAAAGAACAATAAAATTAATCAAAACAAACTAGGAGAAAGTAGTTGATAAAAATAAAATCAGAAATATTTAAATTTATAAAACAATGAAACAGTAGAAGTGAGTGATTACAACAACAGTTGACCTGGCAAGTCAGATTAAGAAACAACTTTAAGGCAGTAAAGGCAAAAATAAACATCAAGGATGAAAACAAAACACAAGCACACATACAGAGAAGAGTAAAACTTATTAAGGAACAATATGAACAACTTTACAGATGTTAATAAGTAAGTCTAGATAGAATGGGGACAGTTTGGGAGAATGTAAATTTCAAATTGACTAAAGAAAAAACATACTACCTTACTCCACTGAAAACTATAGGAGAAATTTTAAAGACTGTTTAATAAATCTAACCTTGACCAAAGCATATGCCCAGGTTATTATAATTGAATTCTACTAAATATTGAAAGATTAATAAATATCTGTGTTGGTTAAACTGTCTTTGAGTATAAATAAAAAATGGAAACCTTCATAAGTCATGATATAGGGAAGGGTATTTTTAAAAAAACAAAACTTTGGGAGGAATTCCTTTACCAGACATAAACAGGTATTATAAACCTATAAATTGAGGCATGTAATCTTAATACAGAAATAGATTGACCAACTGACGCTACCAGATTTCAAGCATAAGTGCCCTAAAAGTTTATGGTATCTTGGTATATGACAGAATGGACATTGAAGATCATTGAAGAAAGAATTAATCATTTAATGACTTGCACTGGAAAGGCTATATCCATATGAAAAAAATTAAACTATATCTTAATCATGTATTATATGCAAAATCAATTCCACATATGCTCAATTTATTTAAAAATAAAGCTCTTTAGAAAAATGTAGGTGAGGCCGGGCACAGTGGCTCATGCCTGTAATCCTAAGACTTTAGGAGGCCGGGGGGGTGTGGATCACCTGAGGTCAGGAGTTCGAGACGAGCCTGGCCAACATGGCAAAACCCTGTCTCTACTAAAAATACAAAAATTAGCCGGGCATGGTAGTGGGCACTTGTAATCCCAGCTACTCGGGAGGCTGAGGCAGGAGAATCGCTTGAACCTGGGAGACGTAAGTTGCAGCGAGCCGATATCGCACCACTGCCCTCCAGCTTGGGCTACAAGAGTGAAATTCCCGTCTCAAAAAAGAAAAGAAAAGAAAACAAAAATGTAGGTGAACATTGAACAGGAATAATTTCTTTTCTTTTAAACTTATTTTCATTATTATTATTATTAATATTATTATTATTATTATTTAAGACAGAGTCTTACTCTGCAACTCAGGCTGGAGTGCAGTGGCATGATCTCGGCTCACTGCAAGCTTCGCCTCCCGGGTTCACGCCATTCTCCAGCCTCAGCCTCCCAAGCAGCTGGGACTACAGGCGCCCGCCACCACGCCTGGCTAATTTTTTTGTTTTTTTTTTTAGTAGAGACGGTGTTTCACCGTGTTAACCAGGATGGTCTCCATCTACTGACCTCATGATCCACCCACCTCAGCCTCCCAAAGTGCTGGGATTACAGGCATGAGAAACTGCACCCAGCCTCATTATGTATTTTTTTAAATCAACAAATAAAAATTATATATATTTATGGTATACGACATGATGTTTTAAAATATGTATTTCATATTCATATTTCAAGTATGTACTTAACCATTGTGGAATGGTTAAATCAAGCTAATTAATATTACCTCACATACTTATAACTTATTGGTGAGAACACTTCACATCTACTCTCTTAGAAATTTTCATCTATACAATACATTGTCATTAACCGTAGCAGCTGTGATGAACATTAGATCTCTTATTTCTCCCTTCTAACTGAAACTGTGTATCTTTGACCATCATATCCCTAATACTAAAAGGGATGAATTTGTTAAACAAGATACAAAAAACAATTAACAAATAAATATGACTAATAAATGTGATTAAATTAAAAATAAATGTCCATTAAGACACAAAGCCATGGCAGTAGAGTTTCTATTTGCAGCACTTCTAAGTGATGAATAATTTATATGCAGAATATTAAGAAATGAAACTGGCAGTAAATAAGTAAAAGAAAAAACATTTTCTTAGAAACATAAATTTATAAGCAGGCATATCACTGGAGTAGACATACTAAAGAAAAAAATACAATTGCAAGACTGTTAAGCTTCACTAGTAATTAAGTATATTCACATTACAATATGGAGGTAACATACTGACTAGATTAAGAATTAAAAACTGGCTGGGTGCGGTGGCGGTGGCGGTGGCTCAGGCTTGTAATCCCAGCGCTTCAGGAGGCCAAGTGGGGCAGATTAGTTGAGGTCAGGAGTTCAAGACCAGCCTGGCCAACATGGAGAAACCCGTCTCTACTAAAAATACAAGAATTAAACGGGTGTGGTGGCACGTGCCTGTAGTCCCAGCTACTCAGAAGGCTGAGGCATGAGAATCTCTTGAACCCAGGAGACAGAGGTTGCAGTGAGCCAAGATCACACCACTGCACTCCAGCCTGGGTGACAGAGCGAGACACTGTCTCGAAAAAAAAAAAAACGAAGGAGAATTAAAAACTTTAAAAATCATAAACATTGGTAAGGATGAAAAACAGTGAAAAACACTTCTGCATTGCATGCAGGACTATAAATTGCTACAGAATCTTGAAATTTCACAACGTCATAATGTTGAAAGTGTTCTTACTCTATAGCTCAGCATTTCTGCTCCAAAATCTCTGCTCCTATCCTATAGAAGCTTCTTTAGCTGGATAATTACCTAGAAAATGTTGTTGCACATATGCATCAGGATGCTTGCATAATAATACTGTGTGTGAGAAAAATCTAGACACAAACTAAAAGTATACCAGCAAGGGAATTGATAAAACACTTGTGGTACATTCATAATATAATACAATAAAATGTTCTATAATAATGAAAATATATCAGCCACAGCTGCATTTATCAATATCCATAAATCTCACAAGCACAATATTCAGCAGAAATATATTATTTGTATAACTTTTAAACACTTGCCAAGCTAACAGTGTAAATAACAATATAAAAAGGATGAAGCAAAACAGAGAAAGGATGTATTAGTCTGTTCTCACACTGCTAATAAAGACACACCCAAGACTGGGTAATTTATAAAGAAAAAGTGGTTTAATGGACTCACAGTTCCACATGGCCGGGGAGACCTCAAAATCATGGCAGAAGGCAAAGGAAGAGCAAAGGTACGTCTTACATGGCAGTAGGCAAGAGACCCTGCGCAGGGTAACTGCCTTTTATAAAACCATCAGATCTCCTGAGACTTTTTCACTATCATGAGAACAACATGGGAAAACCCTTCTTCCGTCATTCAATTACCTCCCACTGGGTTCTTCCCACAACACATGGGGATTATGGGATCTACAATTCAAGATGAAATTTGGGTGGGGACACAGCCAAACCATATCAAAGGACAAACACAAAATTCAGAATAACATTTCCTTCAGTGAAGGAGATATCTTAACTTGGGTGGTAGGTATAATAGCCTTTACAATTTTTTTAAGTCAATTGTCTATGTATATGCTAAAAATGAATTTAGTTTTTCATATTATAGTAAATTAAAATTTTTAAAGCTTCAACATGATCGTCAAATTATAAAAATGGATTTTTTCTTATATACTTGAGTTTTAAACTAAACTCCATATCCCCAACACATCTATTTTGTTGTGCTATTGATGAAAGCTATTGACGAGCTTTCATCAAGTTCATAAAATTATTAGGGTAAACGAAGATTATCTCTTCCCTCCCTTGATGCTCCCCTGCTCGCTTATCCTTGCAGAAGTGTGGATGTTTTCTATTCTCTGGAAAATTTGAAATGGAAAGATTCTCTACTCAGAGGGAGAATCTTGTTGAAAGTGGGATAATTTAATCTGTATACTTAACCATGAAAGTCTGGCTCTGAATACTAAAATAACTGAAGGAATAATTAAGAATTTACTTTTACTCATTTCCTTTTTCCCTCATCCCAACTCCTGATGGTCAGAAGAACTAAAAATTCATTTCAAGCAAAACTGAACAGTGTAAGAACGCACCTACTGATGGAGACCCTTCCTGAACTAGTTCATTCAGATGATCCTATAAGAAAGGCCACTAGCTGACAAGGCTACTCATGCACACAGAGTTTGCAATAGTGCTATTCTTAAATATGAAGGAACAGCCAAGTATTATCAGGCAATTGAAGAGAAATCTCTAACATTATTAAATGAGATAAACATACAAAAAAATAAAAAAAAGAAACTCAAAATAATTAAAAACACAGAAATGTGTGAGAGTGGATGAGGGCATATTGACCTAGGCTTATTTTTTCTAATAATGTTAAATATATATATTCCAGTATTTCTAACACTTTAATTTATTGATTTTTTAAGAAATCAAGACTTTTAACACTTAAAGAGCACTTAATAAATATTATTTATTATTTTAAGTGTTTTTGTTTATCCTATTCATGAAATGTATTATATTAGGGAATATCAATACCTTTATATATAATTTACTTTATATTTTATTTTAGCTTATTTTATAGCTCGTTAGATCCTTCTCATCCAATTATTTTTCACATTTTGAATTGATGTTTGTCTATTAGTCTTTTATGAATACTTATTGCTATTTCATCAGAGTTGTATCTTCTTAATTCATAATGATGCACTTTTTAAAATTTTTCTTTAGTTTCTTACTAAATCATCTAAAGGCCTGCATTTTCTCTAAGTCTTCATGGTGGTGTTTTCTTTTCTGCCTTGATGTAATTTTTCTTAGGCCTATATTGTACTTTTGTTTTTGTATTTGTTCTTAAAATTCACATAGGGCAGAGATTCAGCTAAACTCTATTATCTGCCCTTCGGGTTGCATGATGGTTCTTTATTGCAGTACTGTGTTTTGTTATGGTTTTTGTTTGTTTGTTTTCTCACGGTAGGCTCTTTTCATCTCTTTTTAAGACTTTCTGCTGGAGAGCGTATTGATAATCAGTTGTGACCAAGAAGACCTTGCCGTTCCCTTCAGCTTGATTAAACATTAATTTAATTAATTTAGCTCCTTGACTCTAGGCCTCTGTCCTCCCTTTTCTTAGAGCGTTTACTTTAGGAGATTTTTAATTTTAAATTGCTTTTCTGGTCCTCGGAAATGTATTTTTAAAAGCCTCTTGCCAGTTACACAATTCAGGAATGTTTTTCCTAAGAACCTGGGAGCCACCTCTTTGAACCATAATCACCAAAAGAGATAGTGTCTCTGTCTCCCAGCTTCTGTGGGAAAGCAGGAGCCTAACTTTGGAGGCAAGGCCCCTTGTTCCAAGTTGCAAAAGTACCTCCTGTCATAAAAATATGAGAGAGTTTGCTTTTCCCTGAGGTAATGCCAATTAGCCGACAAAGGGCAGCCCGCCTCAGCTCCCCCAACCTCAGCAGCCTCAACCTCAGCTCCTAAAAACTCTCCAGCCCTGGGTTTCACTGGAGTTGAGTTCCAACTGAGTTCTGGCCTCTCTCTCCTATTACAATCATCTTGAATAAAATCTTCCTGGCCTGTTTGACTTTGGTGCAATTTTCATTTTGACATGTGTTATAGCTCAATTATCCTAAGCTTTCATTTAGAAAGATTTTGCTGTCTTTAGATGAGATGACCACTTATTGTTTTCCTTTTTTTGTTTGTTTTATTGGGAACCTGCATAATACCCGGGATGAAATGTATCACTCCACTTTTGTCTCCCTTGTCATCTGGGAGGCACAATCTCTGACTAGATTCAGCAAGAGGTATCAGTGCAGTGAAAGAAGAGTTTTCTAACTTTCTCCTAAAGTTTCAATGATGCAGAAAAGGAAGCCAAAAGGAAGACAAAAGCAGCTCGACTTTCCTTCTTCTTCCTTACTTTTTCAATTTTTTAAATTTTTAGTTACATAAAACATCTCTAATGAGATGAAGAGATGTGTCCACTTAGTCCCCAGGACATTTAAATATTGAGATTAACACATTATCTTTATTGTAAGGATGTGGGTCACTTCTTACAAATTTTGAGAACTAAAAATAATATGCTCTTGAGAGCACACTGATTTACACTCCCATTTACATCAAAGTGAACTAGAATATTTCAAGGAGGAAAATAGTAAGATGGTAGAAATCCCTGGCTGGAACAGGAGATCATTTCAGATACTAACATAATTATACAGGTGACTTAATAAAGGTTCTCACTAAAGATTGGAAATGTGGATGAATAAAATGCGATGGATTCAAGAGGCTTTTGGAGATAGATTTGACATGAATCTGTGATTAAGTTTTGTGGGCAAGGATGAAGGAGGGAATAATTATGTCTAAAGTTTCTAGGGGTCATGGTGGATGATCATGAACAAAACAAGAGCCAGTATGTGGTATATTAGGAAGATAATTTGTTTCTAATCTTGGCTCTGCCTCAACAAATTGCATGACCTTATGAAAGTCTATTAAAATCTTGAGTCTCTGTTTATTCATTCAGTAAAGAGGTGGTATTCTTGAATAAATTAATCACTTTCACAGTGAGTGATCGCTTTCAAATCAGGGTAACAGGCATTTATCTAGCATCTAGTGTGTGGTCATTTTAGCCTGAGCATTGAGAGAGAGACAAATTAAACAAAGTACATTTATAAAGTGGAAGAATACTATTTACTCACATGATGCATTTATAAAATAATGAAGCTAGAATTATTGAAATTCAATTTTTATACTACAAATGGTAGATACTATAGAAATTTAATTATTGTAGAACAGATCAATAAAGAATTCACATTTTACATTAAAGAATCTTAAAATGCACCCATGAAAATGCTGCTTCAAAAGGTTCTAATTATGAAGAGATTATTTGAGAACTGAGGTGGATAGATAAAATAGCAACGATAATAAATTTTATAATTTTTACGACAGGGAAAGAGCAGAGCCAGTTTTAAATTCAGTTGTATCAGATTCCAAAATTCATGCATTTCAGTCTGTATCTTGTTAGGCTTCAGTATTACATAATGTACTTCAAGAGTTAAAACAGCTATTGCCTTCTTTACTTGGAGTAAAACAAATGCATTGGCCCTATTCTCAAGATTGTGTGTGATTATTTGCAACTAATATTTAAGACCAACTAACATATTATTTCAGTATAATGTTTTCGTCATTTAAGTTTTTGAAACAAATGCCAGTTAATAAGAAAAAAATTACCAGTAGAAATGTATTTAAGAATTGAGTTATGCTGCCATCTAGTGATGATTTGCTGCTGATATTGCTTGAGTATGCCAATTCCACCACCAAAAAAATCAAGTGAATTAAAGCTTTTTGTAAGTGCAAAAAGAAGGCTAACAAAACTATTAAACAGGTGAACATAGATTTGCATCACAAGGCTCACACAAATTAATGTTAGAGCAAAAATATAAAGTAATACTAAAATAATACTAATGAAAATCTTTATTTTCTTTATCTTCTGAAAAGTGTATCAGTTTACATACAAAATATAATGAAGTCCTTGAGTAGAATATCCACACCTTTTTTTTAATGGATTTTAGATTTTTCTTTTATTAGTTAAAATAAATACTCTTCATCATTTATACTTTATCTCAGTTTAGATAGATTATATTTTAAGGAAAACAGCTTCTTTCTGCCTACTGTGGAAGTGAGAATAAGAGTTAAGAACATTAAAATGAAGCAGAGAGGTGGCCTTGCGAGGGTCACAGGCAGAGAAGGAAGCAGCAAGGAGAGTGGAGAATAAAAAAGGATTTGTTCTTAAAGTCAATTTGGTGCAGTACCCAGGAGAACTCAAAAATTGATGGGGAAATGCTGCAGGAAGTCAGGGACCCCGAACAGAGGGAGTGGCTGAAGCCATGGTAGAAGGATGTGGATTGTGAAGATTTAATGGACATTTATTAGTTCCCCAAATTAATACTTTAATAATTTCTTACACCTGTCTTTACTGCAATCTCTGAACATAAATTGTGAAGATTTCATGGACACTTATCACTTCCCCAATCAATACCCTTGTGATTTCCTATGCCTGTCTTTACTTTAATTTCTTAATCCCATCATCTTCATAAGCTGAGGAGGATGTATGTCACCTCAGGACCCTGTGATGATTGCATTAACTGCACAAATTATTTGTAGAGCATGTGTGTTTGAACAATATGAAATCTGGGAACCTTGAAAAAAGAACAGGATAACAGCGATGTTCAGGGAACAAGAGAGATAACCTTAAACTCTGACTGCTAGTGAGCCGGGTGGAACAGAGCCATATTTCTCTTCTTTCAAAAGCAAATGGGAGAAATATCGCTGAATTCTTTTTCTCAGCAAGGAACATCCCTGAGAAAGAGAATGTGTCCCTGAGAGTAGGCCTCTGAAATGGCCGCTTCGGGGGCAGCCATCTTTTACGGTTGAAGCTGTAGGGATGAAATAAGCCCCAGTCTCCCGTAGCACTTCCAGGCTTATAAAGACGAGGAAATTCCCGCCTAATAAATTTTGGTCAGACTGGTTGTCTGCTCTCAAACTCTGTCTCCTGATAAGATGTTATCAATGACAATGTGTGCCCGAAACTTCATTAGCAATTTTAATTTTGCCCCGGTCCTGTGGTCCTGTGATCTTGCCCTGCCTCCATTTGCCTTGTGATATTTTATTACCTTGTGAAGCATATGATCTCTGTGACCCACACACTATTCGTACACTCCCTCCCCTTTTGAAAATTGCTAATTAAAAACTTGCTGGTTTTATGGCTTAGGGAGCATCACGGAACCTGCCAACATGTGATGTCTCCCCCGGACACCCAGCTTTAAAATTTCTCTCTTTTATACTCTGTCCCTTTATTTCTCAGACCAGCTGACACTTAGGGAAAAATAGAAAAGAACCTATGTGACTACTGGGGGTAGGTTCCCCCAATAGGGAAACTTTAAGGAAGAATCTAATAGGAACCTAGTAGCAGGGGTCTCAAGGCATTGTAACTGGTGTATTACACAAAATAAATGCACAGGATTTCAATTTCTAATAATCAAATCTGAAACTACTCTAGACCTATTAGATATAGATTCTGATTCAATTTCAGACAATCAAATCTGAAACTACTCTAGGCCTATTAGATACTGATTCTGGTTTACAGGTGATTATTATGTGATGATAGAGATCTGTAGCCTTAAAGGGTGGCATATGGAAAACAGTTGTAAGAAAAGAGGAGAAACAGGAGAGAGAGGAGATTCTGAAGCTCTAAAATACATTCAACACATTCATTTCCTTTTTCAGTGCATTGGAATTACTAACGAATGAGATGCTAAGCATTGTGTTAGGCACTGTTATATATTAAACTCCTACGTGCTGTTAAGAAATTTGTAACGGAGTCACAGAGAAAGACAGCTGTAAGTTATTTATTGAATATGCCAAATGTGGGAGGCAAAATCAGAAGAATACTACTGTTTTGTCCTCTCCTACCACTACCTACACACTCACTCTCCCGGATCTCCATGCCCAACCTCTTAGCAACATTTTGGGGAAATCCATAATTCTCTGGTAATATGGGGCTATTAACATTAGAATTCAATTAGAATTGTCCAGTTTAAAAATGTACCACAACGTATAAACTAATCTGAGTTAAAACCTACTCTCTCGCCTACTTCAGTGTTTCTTCCCCATAATCACTGGGAATCATAGAATCATAGAACTTCATATTGAAAAGGGCTTTAAAGGAAAAGAGAATGACAACTCAGCCTTTACTTGTGGCCCTGGACTCAACAGGGAGAGCAAAAGGCAGGCCCTGGAAATTTTTTTTTCTCATTTGCTCTCATTATTTGATTTCCTTTCCCATCAGCTGTTCTACTGTTGACTTCTACAGGACAGTGTTAGAAGAAGGGATGAGAGAAGTAAAAAGAAAGGCCTTTTGATTTGGCTTGTGCTATTTGTTGTTTCTTTGTTGTGGTAGGAAATCAAATGATAGCTTTCTATCACAGAAAAATGCTGGATACCTCAGAGACACCTTTCCACACTCTGTAATGTGCAAGAACTCTTTCTAATTTGTGACTTCAAATGTTTACTGTCACTCACTCTCTTGCCTATAAGCTCCAGGAGGGCAGAGACCATCTATTTTGTCACTGCTGTATACCAAACACTAATATAGTGCTCTGTGTTTGTGTTTGAGCACTGGGAATCATAGAACTTCATATTGAAAAGGGCTTTAAAGGAAAAGAGAATGACAAATGGGCTCCAGTTCAGGTAAAAGCAAACTGAGGACAGTTTGATAGTTTGATGAGAAAAAGGAAATGTATGCTGATCTTTTAACATACATCTAGTTATGGACTTTATTTGGTTAGCTAACTGGTCGAGTCTATGTTCTATTCTCCACCACTGTGTGGAGATTCACCTACAAAACATGTCCTGGGAGGTGGGAAAGGATAGTGTTCACCTTTCAGGACAACCCACAAAGAAAACTCATACAGTCCACCTCAATGGTTTCCAAGGAAAATCCTACAGTAACTTTAGATTAAAATTCCACTTAAAGTTTAGGAACTCTTGAAGGGAGTGTTTGATTTGGTAAGGTCTGATTTTGGCTCATTTTGTTCTGGAATTTTAAATCAATTTATGGCAAGATTTTAAAATGAACCTCTTCCAACTGACTCTATATAATACAGGAGTTGAAAGAAAAGATAAGTTAAAAGGAATATTTGAAGAGGAGCAGGACAGCAGCGTTGCCCACCACTCTACTGTACAGGCTTGTGGGGTTCAGGACTGAAGTCACACACCTCATGTGTGTTAAACACAGTAAGAATTTCTTCAAAGGTTTAGCTTGTCCAAGTTCCCTTGTTCTTTGTTTCCTGCTTTCAAGGCCATACTTTCTTACTCTTTCTGTCTCCCTGTCCTGGTTTCAGTAAACAACTCCCCTGTCAGTCCTTATCTCCAGAGCCTACATTCCACATCTGCTGCTCACCCTGTAATTTACCCTTCCTGCCACAATGGCTCGTCCCGCCAAAACTGCCCTTTCCACCAGTGTAACCCCCTTCCTGCTCCCTTCAAATTAGCTAACCACGACCAGTTTAGATTGTGCGGTCCAGCTCCAGCGAGTGGAGACAGGACACAGTAGTAGAAACCAATTGCATTAGAAATAAAAGCCCCTGCTTTCCTTTGTTCAGTGTGTTCTCACCATTGCTCCATCTGCAAGATGCGCCTTTCTATAGAAGTAAATTGCCTTGCTGAGAAAACTTTTGCCTGAGTGCTATTTTCACTTGGCAGCACTGAGCATTTACTTCCAACATGTGGCTACTGAGCAGAGAAATGTGGACAGTCCAAGTTCAGATGTGATGTGAGTGTAAAGTACACTTTGGACTTTGAAGACTTGGTACAAAAAAAGTTAAGTATCTCTAATATTTTTATGTTGATTATAATTTGAAATAATATTTTGGATATATTGAATTAAAATATATTATTAAGTTCATTTCACCTGTTTCTTTTTACTTTCATTAATGGGGCTACTAGAAAGTATAAAATAACATGTATTATATTTTTATTGGACAATATTGGTCCAGAAAATAATCTCCTAGGCTGGAAGAGCAAAAATTCTTTGCCCTTAAAGGGAAATTGTGTCTTTGTGCTCTGACCTGGGGAGTTCTTTCCTTCAGTAAAGTGCTGGTTGCTGTCTCTGTCCTCCCTCCCCTCATTTAAGACCTACACCCTTGCATCTTCCTTAAAGTCACTGTAAATAATTTTCCCACAAACCCAGGCTGTGTGCTGTTACATGTTGCAATGTGTATTTTTACTTCAAAATCTAAAGAGAAACTCCTTGCCCACAGGTATACCTTCTAAACACCTTCATCCCTCAGTGTTTCTAATTCTGGCTTCTGAAAATGAGATCATGGGAGATTCAAGAAAGTCTTATCTTTATCTTAGTGTGACAGCATTTCCCATCGGAGACACCGATGGAATTTATATAATACCCACCTGAGGCAAATGGCATGGAGGTTTTTGCCACTCAAGCAGTAATTATGTGAATTCTGACCACCTTACTTCCTATACTAGGTATATTTTCCTACTGTATTTCTTGGTAATATTTTCCTTGCAAACAACAGCAACTGAAATCTATATAGTTGAAATAAAAATAAATTAATTAGAAGGATATCCAGATGCTATGAAACAACAAGGTTGTATATAAAGCAGGCATACAACTAAACCACAGGAAGAATTAAAACTAGGATTTGGAAATGCATTAGAATTCTTTCCTTGTGTCTTATATTTAATTCTCTTTTTTGTCTGTTTAATTTTTCTTTCTTACTTTTGATTGACTTTTTCCAAAGGACAGAAAACATAACTGTGGAATCTTAGAGGAAAATTAATAAATACATAAAACATTTTCATATTTTAGTTCAATAGCAGTTACTATTCTCTGAGTACTCACCCAGCTTCAAAACTTTATAGTTATTTCTAAATGTCCTGATACATTGCTTTTGTATAGAATTCGGCTAACACTCTTTTTTATTCGTCAGTTTTCCTTGGATTTTCATTATAACTACTGTTATCCTAATTCAAGGTCGCTTTATTCCTTCCTTGACTTCCCATTTTGCCTTTCATCTCCACCTTTTTTCTTCTTTCACTGTATTGGAATTCAAATTAGAAATATCAAAAATCCTCTAATGGTAAGGATTCTGTCAACTGACTTCACTTGAGGCTTCCTTGCATTAGAAAACAGTGTTAATATTAAGAAAAGTTACAAATCATTGAAAGAAAAGTGTTGACTTTTGAAAAGAAAAAGCAAGAAATGATATTTTGCTTTTGAGTTGCATGAATTTTATTATAAATAAAGTTACTCATCTTCACACTTCAGTACTTTAAGATAATCAAAGAAAAATGTATTTAAAAGTCAATGGATTTCAGAATAAAATTTCCAAAAATAAAGGCAAAGTATTACTGAATCTCAAATAATCTTTATTTGTAAATATGTCTTCTCAAATATGATTTTCATTCAATTTGGCCACAGTTTGGGGGAAGTTGTTTAGTGACAAATGTCTGTGCTTGAAAAGCTAATAAAATATGGAAACAGAACTGCTCTATAAAAAGCTGTGAAGATGATATAGACACACAAGAGAGAGAGACTATTTACTTTCTCTAAAGGTTAAACTACCAATATAGAAATAATTACAAGTTCTGGGAGTGTTGTTAATGTTTTCCATTTATGATTCCAAGCATTATTTGTCCTCTCTGTTTTCCTTCAATAAGATGAACTGTTTTTTCAATAGGTAACACTTGCCCTAGTTATTTTAAAATATAAATCTAATGATTAGAGCTAAGGTGACAGCTAAATATAGTCAATATAGGCAGGCATTATTAGCTGAAGAGAAAATGACTTTAATTTTTACGTGTCCTTTATCTATCTATGATATCAACGGAATGACCTTAAAATGCAAAACAGATTCCTTTAGCAGAGTTTAGTTTTAGGAGGTGAATTGCTTGCCCTTTTACCTCCCAGAAGATATATTGGCTGAAAAAGTATTTGCCGTGGGAGACAAATGAATTAAAGACCATCATATCAAGTCAGGAACCAGATGGGTTTGGGGCAAAGTGATAAATGTAATTTTGAATTTGATTTTAGAAGTATATATTTTTCATAAAGGACCAAATTATATTCATATTCTGTTCCTCATATTTATGTTTACACATTCTTTGTCATTTGGATATATATACACACAAATTAATAAAAAGTATCTGTATAACTCAATACAGCAAAATTTTATGGAATAACTAACATTCATTCTCATTCCTGAAAATAGGACATGGAAGAAGAATTTTAGCATGAATTAGTCTTACAATTATTTTTACTGAAAAAAATATTAGACCATGTGGCTTTCTGTTTTTGTTTTTTAATTGGCTTTCTGTGTTGTTTCTTTGTATTTTTACATATTTTTTATAATAGTAGAATGAACTGTTAACATGGAATGTACTTCCTTAACATTTTATGTGCACAATGCAGTATTTTTTTATTATACGTTAAGTTCTGGGATACATGTGCAGAACGTGGAGGTTTGTTACATAGGTATACATGTGTCATGGTGGTTAACTGCACCCATCAACCTGTCATCTACATTAGGTATTTCTCCTAATGCTATTCCTCCCCTAGCCCCCCACCCCCCTGACATGTCCCAGTGTATGACGTTCCCCTCCCTGAGTCCATGTGTTCTCATTGTTCAACTCGCACTTATGAGTGAGAAAATTTGGTGTTTGGTTTTCTGTTCCTGTTTTAGTTTGCTGAGAATGATGGTTTCCAGCTTCATCCACGTCTCTGCAAAGGACATGAACTCATCCTTTTTTATGGCTGCATAGTATTCCATGGTGTTTATGTGCCACATTTTGTTTATCCAGTCTATCATTGATGGGCATTTGGGTTGGTAGTAAGTCTTTGCTATTGTGAACAGTGCTGCAATAAACATCCGTGTTCATGTGTCTTTATAGTAGAATGATTTATAATCCTCTGGGTATATACCTAGTAATGGGATTGCTGGGTCAAATGGTATTTCAGGTTCTAGATCCTTGAGGAATTAGCACACTGTCTTCCAAAATGGTTGAACTAATTTACACTCCCACCAACAATGTAAAATCATTCCTATTTCTCCACATTCTCTCCAGCATCTGTTGTTTTCTGACTTTTTAATTATCACCATTCTAACTGGTGTGAGATGGTATCTCATTGTGGTTTTGATTTGCATTTCTCTAATGACCAGTGATGATGAACTTTTTTTCATATGTTTGTTGGCCACATAAACGTCTTCTTTTGAGAAGTGTCTGTTCATATCCTTTGCCCACTTTTTGATGGGTTTGTTTTTTTCTTGTGAATTTGTTTAGGTTCCTTAAAGGTTCTGGATATTAGCCTTTTGTCAGATGGATAGATTGCAAAAATTTTCTTCCATTCTGTAAGTTGCCTGTTCACTCTGGTGATAGTTTCTTTTGCTGTGCAGAAGCTCTTTCTTTTAATTAAATCCCGATTGTCAATTTTGGCTTTTGTTGCCATTGCTTTTGGTGTTTTAGTCAAGAAGACTTTGCCCATGCCTAGGTCCTGAACGGTATTGCCTAGGTTTTCTTCTAGGGCTTTTATGGTTTTAGGTCTTACATTTAAGTCTTTAATCCAACTTGAGTTAATTTTTCTATAAGGTGTAAGGAAGGGGTCCAGTTTCAGTTTTCTGCCTGTGGTTGGCCAGTTTTCCCAACACCGTTTATTAAATAAGGAATCCTTTCCCCTTTGCTTGTTTTTCTCGGGTTTGTCAGAGATCAGATGACTGTAGATGTGTGGTGTTATTTCTGAGGCCTCTGTTCTGTTCCATTGGTCTATATATCTGTTTTGGTACCAGTAACATGCTGTTTTTGTTACTATAGCCTTGTAGTATAGTTGGAAGTCAGGTAGCATGATGCCTCCAGCTTTGTTCTTTTTGCTTAGGATCGTTTTGGCTATACAGGCTCCTTTTTTGTTTCATATGGAGTTTAAAGTAGTTTTTTCCAATTTTGTGAAGAAAGTCAGTGGTAGCTTCATGGGGATAGCATTGAATCTATAAGTTACTTTGGGCAGTATGGCTATTGTTACAATATTGATTCTTCTTATCTATGAGCATAGAATGTTTTCCCATTTGTTTGTGTCCTCTCTTATTTCCTCGAGCAGTGGTTTGTAGTTCTCCTTGAAGAGGTCCTTCACATCCCTTGTAAGTTGTATTCCTAGGTATTTTATTCTCTTAGTAGCAATTGTGAATGGGAGTTTGTTCATGATTTGGCTCTCTGTTTGTCTGCTATTGGTGTACAGGAATGCTTGTGATTTTTGCACACTGATTTTGTATCCTGAGACTTTGCTGAAGTTGCTTATCAGATTAAGGAGATTTTGGGCTGAAACAATGGGGTTGTCTAAATATAAAATCATGTCTTCTTCAGATACAATTTGGCTTCCTCTATACCTATTTGAATACCCTTGATTTCTTTCTCTTGTCTGATTGCCCTGGCCAGAACTTCCAATACTATGTTAAATAGGAGTGGTGAGAGAGGGCATCCTTGTCTTGTGCTGGTTTTCAAAGGGAATGCTTCCAGCTTTTGCCCATTCAGTATGATAATGGCTGTGGGTTTGTCATAAATAGATCTTATTATTTTGAGATACATTCCATCAATACCTAGTTTATTGAGAGTTTTAGCATGAAGCGGTGTTGAATTTTATCAAAGACCTTTTCTGCATCTATTGAGATAATCATGTGGTTTTGTCATTGGTTCTGTTTATGTGATGGATTATGTTGATTAATTTGTGTATGTTGAGCCAGACTTACAACCCAGTGATGAAGCCAACTTGATTGTGTTGGATAAGCTTTTGATGTGTTGCTGGATTCAGTTTGCCAGTATTTTATTGAGGATATTCACATCGATATTCATCAGCAATATTGGTCTGAAATTTATTTCTTGTGTCCTTGGCAGGCTTTTGTATCAGGATGATACTGGCCTCATAAAATGAGTTAGGGAGGATTCCCCCTTTTTCTATTGTTTGGAATAGTTTCAGAAGGAATGGAACCAGCTCCTCTTTGTACCTCTGGTAGAATTCGGCTGTGAATCCGTCTGGTTCTTGGCCTTTTTTTTTTTGTAGGCTATTAATTACTGCCTCAATTTCAGAACTTGTTATTGGTCTATTCAGGGATTCGACTTGTTCCTGGTTTAGTCTTGGGAGGGTGTATGTGTCCAGGAATTTACCCATTTCTTCTAGATTTTCTAGTTTATTTGTGTAGAGATGTTTATAGTGTTCTCTGATGGTAGTTTTTATTTCTGTGGGATCAGTGGTGACATCCTCTTTATCATTTTTATTGTGTCTATTTGATTCTTCTCACTTTTTCTTTATTAGTCTGGCTAGTGGTCTATCAATTTTGTTAATCTTTTCAAAAAAACAGCTTCTGGACTCATTGATTTTTTGAAAGGTTTTTCGAGTCTCTATGTCCTTCAGTTCTTCTCTGATCTTAGTTATTTCTTGTCTTCTGCTAGCTTTTGAATTTGTTTGCTCTTGCTTCTCTAGTTCTTTTAATTGTGATGTTAGGGTGTCGATTTTAGATCTTTCCTGCTTTCTTCTGTGGGCATTTAGTGCTATAAATTTCCCTCTAAACACTGCTTTGGCTGTGTTCCAGAAATTCTGGTATGTTGTGTCTTTGTTCTCACTGGTTTCAAAAAACTTACTTATTTCTATCTTAACTTCATTACTTACACAGTGGTCATTCAGGAGCAGGTTGTTCAGTTTCCACGTAGTTGTGCAGTTTTGAGTGAGTTTCTTAATCCTGAGTTCTAATTCGATTGCACTGTGGTCTGAGAGACTGTTTGTTATGATTTCCCTTCTTTTGCATTTGCTGAGGAGTGTTTTACTTCCAATTATGTGGTCAATTTTAGATTAAGTGCAATGTGGTGCTCAGAAAACTGTATATTCTGTTGATTTGGGGTGGAGAATTCTGTAGATGTCTGTTAGGTCCACTTGATCCAGAGCTGAGTTCAAGTCCTGAATATCCTTGTTAATTTTCTGTCTCATTGATCTGTCTAATATTGACAGTGGGATGTTAAAGTCTCCCATTATTATTGTCTGGGAGTCTAAGTCTTTTCATAGGTCTCTAAGAGCTTGCTTTATGAATCTGGGTGCTCCTGTATTGGGTGTATATATATTTAGGATAGTTAGCTCTTCTTGTTGCATTGATCCCTTTACCATTATGTAATGCCCTTCTTTGTATTTTTGATCTTTGTTGGTTTAAAGTCTGTTTTACCAGAGACTAGTTTTGCAACCACTGCTTTTTGTTGTTGTTGTTGTTGTTTTCTTTTCCTTTCTTTTTTTTTTTTTTTTTTTTTTTTTTTTTTTGCTTTCCATTTGCTTGGTACATATTCCTCCATCCCTTTATTTTGAGCCTATATGAATCTTTGCATGTGAGATGGGTCTTCTGAATACAGCACATCGATGGGTCTTGACTCTTTTTCCAATTAGCCAGTTTGTGTCTTTTAATTGGGACATTTAGCCCATTTACATTTAAGGTTAATATTGTTATTTGTGAATTTGATCCTGTCATTATGATGCTAGGTGGTTATTTTGCCCATTAGTTGATTCAGTTTCTTCATAATGTCGATGGTTTTTACAATTTGGTATGTTTTTGCAGTGGCTGGTACAAGTTTTTCCTTTCCATATTTAGTGCTTCCTTTAGGAGCAACTTGTAAGGCAGGCCTGGTGGTGACAAAATCTCTCAGCATTTGCTTGTCTGTAAAGGATTGTATTTCTCCTTTGCTTATGAAGCTTAGCTTGGCTGGATATGAAATTATAGGTTGAAAATGCTTTTCTTTAGAATGTTGAATATTGGCCCCCAACTCTCTTCTGGCTTGTAGGGTTTCTACAGAGAGATCCACTGTTAGTCTGATGGGCTTCCCTTTGTGGATAACCCAACCTTTCTCTGTGGCTACCCTTAACATTTTTTCCTTCATTTCAACCTTAGTGAATCTGATGATTATGTGTCCTGGGGTTGCTCTTCTTGAGGAGTATCTTTGTGGTGTTCTCTGTCTTTCCTGAATTTGAACATTGGCCTGTCTTGCTAGGTTGGGAAAGTTCTCCTGAATAATATCCTGAAGAGTGTTTTCCAACTTGGTTCTATTCTCCCCGTCACTTTCAGGTACACCAATCTAACATAGGTTTGGTCTTTTCATGTAGCTTTATTTCATTAAGTTGATCATCAATCTCTGATATCCTTTCTTCTGCATGATCGATTTGGCTATTGATACTTGTGCATAATTCACAAAGTTCTTGTGCTGTGTTTTTCAGCTCCATCAGGTCATTTACATTCTTCTCTAAACTGGTTATTCTAGTCAGCAATCCTTCTAACATTTTTTCAAGTTTTCAAGGTTGTTAGCTTCCTTGCATTGGATTAGAACATGCTCCTTTAGCTCAGAGGAGTTCGTTATTACCCACCTTCTGAAGCCTACTTCTGCCAATTCATCAAACTCGTTCTCTGTCCAGTTTTGTTGCTTTGCTGATGAGGAGTTGTGATCCTTTGAAAGAGAAGAGGCATTCTGGTTTTTGGAATTTTCAGCCTTTTTGTGCTGGTTTTTCCTCATCTTCATGGATTTGTCTACCTTTGGTCTTTGATGTTGGTGACCTTTGGATGAGGTTTTTGTGTGGACATGCTTTTTGTTGATGGTGATGCTATTCTTTCTGTTTGTTAGTTTTCCTTCTAACAGTCAGGCTTCTCTGCTGCAGGTCTGCAGGAGTTTGCTGGAGGTCCACTCCGGACCCTGTTTGCCTGGGTGTCACCAGCGGAGCTGCAGAACAGCAAAGATAGCTGCCTGTTCCTTCCTCCAGGAGCTTCGTCCCAGAGGGCCACCCGCCAGATGCCAGCTGGAGCTCTCCTGTATGAGGTGTCTGTTGACCCCTGCTGGGAGGTGTCTCCCAGTCAGGAGGGATGGGGGTCAGGGACCCACTTGAGGAGGCAGTTTGTTTCTTAGCAGAGCTCAAGCACTGTGCTGGGAGATCTTCTGCTCTCTTCAGAGCCAGCAGGCAGGAATGTTTAAGTCTGCTGAAGCTGCCCCCACAGCTGCCCCTTCCCCCAGGTGCTCTATTTCAAAGAGATGGGAGTTTTGTCTATAAGCCCCTGACTGGAGCTGCTGCCTTTGTTTCAGAGATGCCCTGCCAAGAGAGGAGGAATCTAGAGAGGCAGTCTGGCTATAGTGGATTTGCAGGGCTGTGGTGGGCTCCATCCAGTTCGAACTTCCTGGTGGCTTTGCTTACACTGTGAGGTGAAGCCGCCTACTCAAGCCTTAATAATGGTGAATGCCTCTCCCCCACCAAGTTCAAGTGTTCCAGGTCAACTTCAGACTGCTGTGCTGGCAGTGAGAATTGCAAGCCAGTGGATCTTAGCTTGCTGGTCTCCATGAGGGTGGGATCCACTGAGCTAGACCACTTGGCTCCCTGGCTTCAACCCCCTTTCCAGGGGAGTGAACCGTCTGTCTCACTGGCATTCCAGGTGCCACTGGGATATGAAAAAAAAGCCCCTGCAGCTAGCTCAATGTCTGCCCAAATGGCTTCCCAATTTGTACTTGAAACCCAGGGTCCTGGTGGTGTAGGCACCCGAGGGGATCTCCAGGTCTGCGGGTTGCAAAGACCATGGGAAAAGCATAGTGTGCCTGGGCCAGAATGCACTGTTCCTCACAGCATAGTCCCTCATGGCTTCCCTTGGCTAGGGGAGGGAGTTCCCCAACCCCTTGTGCTTTCCAGGTGAGGCAATGCCCCACCCTGTTTCTGCTTGCCCTCCATGGGCTGCACCCTGCACCCACTGTCTAACCAGTCTCAGTGAGATGAGCCGGATACCTCAGTTGGAAATGCAGAAATCACCTCCCATCTACATTGATCTTGCTGTGAGCTGCAGACCGGAGCTCTTCCTATTTGGCCATCTTGCCCATGTAAGCTGCAGTATTGTTAACTATAGACACTGTTGTATAGCAGATCTCTAGAAATTATTCAACTTGAGTAACTGAAATTTATACCTGTCCGATAGCAAATACCTGTTTTCTTGTCTACCCAGCCCCTGGCAACCACCATACCATTCCCTGTAGTATGAGTAGCTATGAGTTTTACTTTTTAAGATTCCACATATAAATGATATCACACAGTATTTCTCTTTCTTTGCCTTGTTTATTGCACTTAGTGTAATGTTCTCTAGGCTTATTTATGTTGCTACATATGATGGTATTTCTTTCTTTTCTAAGGATGAATAATGTTTTATTGTATGTGTATACCACATCTTTCTTTATCCATTTATTAGTGTACATTTAGGGTATTTTCATGTCTTGTGTCTTATAAATAATGCTGCAGTGAACATAGGAGTGCAGCTATCACTTCAAGATCTCTTGTAGCATTTTGTGATTGACATAGTTTTTAAATTTATGATACCTAGCCTTTTAATCTCTCATTATGGTAGGAGAATTCCTTACTTTAAGAATACTGATGGAAAGAGGCAAATATTCTCCTTCTATAAAAACTGAAAATGCTAGCTACTCATGATCCCACTCTTCCTTGCAGCTGACCTTGACTTGGTAGCTTCTAAGGAAGCATCTGTTTTTCTCAGCTGGTGAGGATGGTAGTAAATGATGAAAGGTGACATTTGTGAAAACAGAAATATTTGAAGTACTTGAAGGAATATTCAACACATCAATACTATAGTGGGTTTTTTGCCTTCTTTGTGGAAATTAATTAAAAACTTTGCTCTTTGTTCTTTCCAGTGATTAATTTAATAAACTCATTTTCTCTTTTTCACATATAGGCAGATTCTGAACTGAAAATCTGACTGGTTCCAACTTCATACTTTTTTTTTATGACTTTCCTTCCTTTGGAATTTGTAAAGAATGCAGTATTTATGTGTCTTTTTTCATCCATTTTATTATAAACTGCTTGTTCATGGAGACTTTATTTTATATATTTCTTTATTATATATAATATTTAAGAAAATGGCATTTTAATATGGATGATTAAATGAACATGTGATTACATATTAATAGAAAAAGCATAGGCCTGAGAAATACTTAAATACTCTGCTAACATTTTTACCTTACATAAGCCATAGTATCTCTGGGTCACAGATTTTTCACATATAAAAAGAAATGGCCAGATAAGTTTTACGGGCCTAGAAATTACATATTATTTGTCTTAGTTTATTCATTTCTGAATAGATCTTGAAGGTAAGGAACCTTTGATATAATATGCTTCTGTAAGATTTCAGAAGCAGGTGTTTCTAAAATAAATTTTCAGCCCCAATTAGATTCATGTTTGTTTGTTTTTCTGCCCACAAACTAAAGATTGACTAAACAAGTGACAAAATAACTTCAGCTCAAGGGAAGGGTGCTAATTTGTGTATTTCTGTTCCAGGATAGTCCTACTTCCATTGTCTCTTCTCTGTGTAATCTCAGTTCCTCCAATTCTGCCTGAGACTAAGTAGCTCAGCAATAGAGTAGCTTAGTGTTTTCCAGATCTTACTTTCCTGTAATTGATCTGTCTCAAATCCCCAGCTGACACTCTTTAGTGGCCTTTTTATTTCAGTATTTGCTTGGAGATGAAACAATAAGTGGCAAGCAAATCCAAACTTTCCCTCTGTATCTCAACAGATATCACTAATAAATCGTGTCACTCTTCCTTGCTGAGCATGCATATGTTCAGCCACTCCTCAGAACACCACTCCAGGAAGTCAGTACCAATCAAGGTTGGCACAGTTTGTTGCAGACACTTTATATTAACTCACTCACCACTCACACACTCATTTCAGTACTTTTTTGGCTTGCTTTCTTGAAAAATAGAGGCTGGCAACATATAAGCTGCATTTTCCAAATATCCTTTTAACTAAGTGTGCAGGCATGGGACTTAGGTTCTTCCAAGCAGATGCACCTGCATAAAACATGAATGAAGAGAAAGAACACGAAGCAACTGTTGCATGTGGGTTTCCTGGGGTAGATGTGATAAAATTTCTAGTTTCTAGCTCCTATTGTAGAGGCAATGGAAATGGCAATATCTTTCCCTTTCAGTGACCCCATGATGTGGTTGGGCATTTCTTCTAAAGATGTCATTCTTCAAGTGCATCTTCTACTCATGTAGTAGCCAAGCTTAAAAACCACCCTAACAATTCTGTATTATGTGACTTCCACTAACCAATTCCTTAACAAATTAGAATAAACGAGCTAGATTAGCTTCTAGTGTCTGCAGCTAAGAATCATGACCTATCCAAAGTTGAAATGCACTTGTTACCTTTGTCGGTTAGTAATGTGTTTGTGAGAAATAAATCCAATGAATAGTGGTTGAAACATGGAACCTATTTTTCACTTGGTGCTCAACAATGTCATCCCAAACAATCTTCAACATCTGAATTTCACTTCATTTTTAAAACATGGGGCATTTACATCCTTATATTTCCTGCACACTAGGCAGGAGGGAAAGGGTGAGCTAAAAGTTTTCTTCTAACAGTACCTTATTTGAGAAGAGATGCCATACCAGGGGTTATTGTTGACATCTCAGTGACTAGAACTGTGTCTCATGTACTCCCTGAGGCATGAATGTTGGTATTTCACTATCGTGTTTCTATAATACAGACAAGCAAGGGAATAAATATTATACATTATGTTGAGTGAGACATCCTACAATGTTTGCAACACTGTTACTGCCTTACTTGCTGTTGTCACTTAGGGCTTCTCTGATAAACTCCAAACAAATATTATTCAAATGCAAGGCTACCTTGAAGATATTATGGATTTGATTCCAGATCACCACAATAAGGTGAACATTGTAATAAATCACATGATTTTTTTGGTTTTCTAGTATATATAAAACTTATTTTTACATTATACTGTAGCCTATTCACACATTTCCTGATTTTATATATATATATATATATATATATATATATATATATATATATATCCCATACAAACACAAGAGGATAGATAGATAGATAGATAGATAGATAGAAGATAGATAGAAGATAAATAGATAGATAGATAGATAGATAGATAGATAGATAGATAGATAGACAGAGATAGAGAAGGGGAGAGACACAGAGACCTACTACAGAGATGTGTGTTTGGTTCCAGACCACTGAAATAAAGTGAGTCATACAATTTTTTTGGTTTCCCAGTGTTTGTAAAAGTTATGTTTATACCACACTATAACTATTACATGTGCAATAGCATTGTGTTTAAAAAATAATGTACATACCTTCATTTTTAAAATACTGTTGTTTTTTTTTTTTATCAGACAGAGTCTATCACCCAGGTTGGAGTGCAGTGGCTCAATCTTGGCTCACTGCAACCTTTGCCTCCTGGGTACAAGCAATTCTCATACCTCACCCCCCATCCCCCGAGGAGCTGGGATTACAAGCGCCTGCCACCACACCCAGCTAATTTTTGTATTTTTAGTAGAGATGGGGTTTCACCATGTTGACCAGGCTGGTCTTGAGCTCCTAACGTCAAGTGACCCACTCGGTTTGGCCTTCCAAAGTTCTGGGATTATAGGCATGAGCCACTGTACCCAGCCTAAAATTACTTTATTTCTAGAAAATTCTAATCATCTGAGCCTTCAGCAAGTGGTAATCTTTTTGCTGGTGGAGATTCTTGCTTCGATGTTGATGGCTGCTGATCAATCAGGGTAGTGGTTCATGAAGGCTGGAGTGGCTGTGGCAATTACTTAAAATAAGACAATAATGAAGTTTGACATATTGATTGAATCTTCCATTCATGAAGCATTTCCCTGTAACATGCAATATATGGTAGCATTTTAGCTACACTAGAGCTTCTTTTAAAAATCAAAGAAATCCTCTCAAATCCTGTTGCTGCTTTATCAACTAAGTTTATGTACTATACTAAATCCATTGTTGTCTTTACAACAATGCTCCTAGCATCTTCACTAGGAGTGGATCCCATCTCAAGAAATCACTCCCTGCTCATTCATAGAAAGCAACTTTCCATCCATTGATATTTTATCATGAGATTGCAGCAATTCATTCACATCTTCAGGCTCCACCTCTAATCCTAGTTCTCTTACAATTTCCACCACACTTGACAATTACTTCCACCACTGTAGTCTTGAGCCCCTCAAAGTCAGCCATGAAGGTTAGAATCAACTTCTTCCAAACTCAAGCTAATATTGTTATTTTGACCTCCACACAAGAATCACTAGTGTTCTGAATGGCGTCTAGACTGGTGAATCTTTTCCAAAAGTTTTTCAATTTCCTTTGCCCAGATCCATCAGAATTACCAAAATGTGATACAGGCATAGAGTAAGCACATACTGTTAGTAAAATGGTGCCAATAGACTTGCTAGACTCAGGATTGCCAAAAAACTTCAATTTGTAAAAAATGCAGTGTCTGCAAAGTGCAGTAAAGCAAAGCACAATAAAACTAGGTATTCCTGTATTTAGATGAAATATTTAGTTATCAACTTGATGGAACACAAACATACCAAAAAGCCCATCTGCTCATAAATAACTTTCCAAAAGCTTGTCATTGAATGTGAATTTTCTACTTTTAGAGTCACATATTTGGATAAAGATATTTGGCATGCAGAGAACATATGCTCAATTGCATATGTATTATTCAGTAGTGGCAGCTCAAAAACTCATCACTACTTATCATCTTGTTACTCCAGAGAAAATTATTAAACAGGCATGTAAATCTTCATGCAGAATAGAGCAGAATAGAAGCTGCATCTGAGGAAGGGAGAGGAAGCCTGGATAGACTACTGGACAACATGAGCAATTGGAATGGATTCCAGGAATTAAGTGAAATAAAGAGGGAAACAAGTGCACAAAATCTTCCATCCCAATCATACCTTTAAATGGGCCAGTTCCAATTAGGAATACGTATTAAAATGTTCCTTCGTATATGTTAGAGGTTTAGAAGATTAATTCATAGCACCCTTCTCTCCTCTGTTTGAGGTTGAAACCAACTGAGAAATGACCGGGTAGATAGAAAGTACAAATTTTCTCTTGTAATCATGTCCATATGCTATGCTTAAATATTTGCTAAAATCAGCTTATAATAGTTGACCTTTAAATTATCCTTATTACCCACTAACTGGCACACCTCAACATCCCCAGCCTTCGCAATGCATGTACACGCACAAACACATACACACTGTGTTAGTCCATTTTCACACTGCTATAAGGAACTGCCTGAGACTGAGTAACTTATAAAAGAAAGGTTTAATTGACTCACAGTACAGCGTGGCTAGGAGGCCTCAGGAAACTTAAAATCATGGCTGAAGGCAAAGGGGAAGCAAGACACCTTCTTCACGAGGCAGTAGGAAGGAGAATGAATGCAGGAGGAACTACCAAACACTTACAAAACCATAAGATATAGTGAGAACTCATTCACTATCAAGAGAACAGCATGGGGAAAATTGTCCACATGATCCAAGTACCTCCTCCTGGTGTCTCCCTGGACATGTGGGGATTATGGGGATTAAAATTCAAGATGAGATTTTGGGTGGGGACACAGCCAAACCATATCTCTCTCTCTCTCTCTCTCTCTCTATCTCTCTCTCTCTCACACACACACACACACACACACACACACACACACAAGGGGAAGCACCTTGTACTGAGGGCAGGCAAAACTGAAGAGAAATGAGAGTGGGCTGAGTGACATGTAATCAGTTCATATCCCCAAGTCACCCATTAGATGTCTTTCCACATGCTTCAGGTTGGTGAGTGAGAACAGAGGCAAGACAAGACAAGAGTATGGGAGCGGTACTGTGGTGGAAGGCTCTCCCCACAAAAACATGAAGAAAGGGGAATACACATTTATGTAGTCTTCATTGACGATTCTTAGGAGTTAAAGTCAGAGAGCTAGGGTAAATAGTGACAAAGCAATTACAGACAATAATGCTATCATCATTAGTATTTCATCATCCTACATTATCATTAAAGGATAATGATAAGTCATATTATGCTGTTAGAGTATTATATTGTGGCCTTCCTATAATGCTTACAGAAAAACATTTTAAAGGTACAAAATATACTATGCCTTCCACTATCTTTCCAAAAGATTTCCATCTTATTTGTGAGACAAAATAGAGATTAAAGAACAATATAAACAACTTGGCTCACACATATGTCTCCAGTTTCAACCTCCTCTTGTTCTGAATTTATTTTATAGTCTAGGAAAAACAATCTGCCTATAATGATCATGACATATTTCATATTACTCTTTGCCACTGCACTTGTGCTTTTGCTATTTCCTCTCCTCAAAATGGATTTTCACGCCTCTTTTATCTAGCATTAAGTATCTTTCAAATCTCAGTTCAAGTATTATTTTATTTCACTAGGAACATTTTCTTGAATCTTCTGGATGCAATAAGTAGCCATCTTCTGTGAGTTAATAATAACACGTTTGACAGTATTTGAAATTATATATATTTGTTAAGTCCACTGGAATATGAAAGTGGCTTAGGTTGAGGACCATTATTTTCTAAAATATTTGCATCTTTCTAACTTAGCACAGAGCTTGTTCTATAGTAGGCACTTAAGTGCTTTTTTAAACTAGAGAGGGGAGAGACAATAGAGTTATTAGGACAGAAAGGATTCTCAGGAAGGGCAAATCATGAAAGAAGAGACAATTAAAATATATTTTAGAAATTTTGTAAATGGCATAGTTCTAAATATAGTAGATCTTTAAGTTTTGAAATGGCACATTAATTTTTTAAAATCTTAAAAGGGTAATATTTTTATTATTAAAAGGGAACACATTTGAATGACACTGAATTCTTTAAAAAATTCCAGAAAGATAACTAAAGAGACTCTTGTAAAATAATGAGTCCCTACATATGTTTATATTTTTCTATTTTGTATCATAAGCTTTATTAGATATTTAATGATTAATTCATAATCACTCAACATTGTGATTCAGAATGTGTCAATTACATAAGCTACTCAATTCATACACCAGAATGATAGAGAATAAATTGAATTTACATTCTAAGGTGTATTCTAAGAAACAAATATAAATCATAGTAATGTGGATATTTTTCGTTCATTCCTGATTATAACAACACATTATGAAGTCAATGACCTGCTTCTTGAAGAGCATCTGTTGAATATAATATTGTTATATTTGGATAATCTGCAGGTAAAATCTTGTTTCTCAGGTTGCTTCCTGGGGGGAAATCCTGGCAGAACATTGCTATTCAATGATAAAGTAGACTTGGCTTTTTCGATCACATTTATGGAGATATTTTCTCCTACACAGATCTGATAAGATTGACATCTTTCTGTTCAATTCCTCTGTGTAAAGGCTATAGAGGAAGCATTACACATCTGTAACACCATATATACCAGTTACTGGCTACTCTCGTCAAGAACCAAACTCTCTCATTCTCAACCTTTTGGTTTATGTCTTAATATACTTGAGTTCTGGCTTTAGTTTAAGTTCACTATTCCAATTCTGTAATTCTATGATATTTATTACTTATTTAAAGATATAATTGAAAACTTAGGTCTACAAATATTTACATGAGATTTCTACAGAAACTTACTTTTTGACTTTCATAAAATATTAAAATTTATTAGAGAATTATTAATTTCATTTTTTAAGATTTACAATTTACTAGGTCCAAATTAAATACTTTGTAATTAATGCTAATTCATATAAATCAACCCTTCCTCACTTAGCAATGCCAAACTAAATGATAAAATTTGTATCCACCTACTCAATCATTGCTAGAACCAATCATTTATTTGAATTTGTGTTTTCTCAGTCATTCATGCACAATGAATCATTCTTAGAACTGCTCAGTCCTAAAGATATTTGACAAATGTTGCACTTAGAAACAGCTTTGTTTTCCAAATTGCATTTTCTGCACTTCACTTCTTTTTTATTGCTAAACATATTTGTGTAAAAAATAGTATCAAATTAAACGAGTTGCCAATTTCATTTTAATTGACTTAAAATCCTCTTGAAATTGTTATAAGCCAAAAAATATACAATTGTTTGCTATAGTTTGTATGTGTTAAAAAGAAAAGACATCCAACTGAGTTCCTAGTGGTACCTTTGTAAAAATACTGCTTTATTCTATTATTCCAATAAAAAAACTCTAAAATATAACCTAAAAACTACCTCAACTAACTTTTAAATTAATCTCTGCATCTCTGCTAATGCAAAACAGAAACATTTGATTTCATGAAAATTAAAGTGAATTTCTAGTGTATTTAGGCCTTTCTATCTCTATGAGCAACACTATGCAAAATCAATTTCAGATTAATTATGAGCATTGCAAAGAGTAGTCACCTGAAAACATACTAAAAATATGAAACCAAGATAATTTTAACAGCTTTCTTCTATTATTTCTTCCTTCCCATAATTTTTCTTTACATTTGCTATATAACAGCCATTAATTCATCACAATGATGTCTGAAAAAATTCATATTTGTTCTTGTTAATTTGTTACCATTTGACTTGTTTATTTGTTTTCACCATAGCAAACATTCAGACTACTACAACTTAAACATCAGGAACTTATTTTTCTGTTTGCTTACTCTCATGGTAGATTTTACTTTTGAAAGTGATGATATTTTCCCCCCTTTACTGTGATTTTTACTAAGATAGATATCACTATTGTAGTAACAATAACAGATTGCTTATCTTTAGGATTTTTAGTGAAGAAATGAATTTTTATTTACAATTCTGTAATTTCTCCTCCCTGTTTCTTTCTTTCTTTTCTTTTTTTTTTTTTTTTTTTGACAGTTTTGCTCTGTCACTCAGGCTGGAGTTGGAGTGCAGTGAGTGGCTCAATCTTGGCTCACTGCAGAGTCTGCCTCCCAGGTTCCAGCGATTCTCCTGCCTCAGCCTCCTGGGTAGATGGGATTACAGGCACACACCACCACGCCCGGCTAATTTTTGTATTTTTAGTAGAGACACAGGTCTCACCATGTTGGCCAGGCTGGTCTCAAACTTCTGGCCTCAAGTGATCTGCCAGCCTCCTAAAGTGCTGGGATTACAGGCGTGAGTCATCGCGCCGGGCCTCTCCTCTCAGTTTCATCTTGCATTTTTCTTGATCTCCATCAATGTCATCATCGCTGTTCAAGCCTATGTTATGGCTATCTTAGACCCAGATATTGCTACATCCTTTTGGCTAATTTTAAAACCTCAAATTTTCTTTCTCCTCTCTAATAATACCTGTGCAAAATTTACAGAATTATCTTGCAAAAAAAAAGTTTTATTCCTCTGATCAAAATCTACAAAAATTGTACCTATTTTGTGTCATATTTATTGTAAAGCAGTTTCTCTGATTTGAAATTTATCATAATATAGCTCAATGCAGCTTTACAGGAGCAGAAAAATCAGTACTGTGGAAACAATTAATAAGCGATTTAAATTATTCAACACTATCACCTTTGCTTGAAATCTCCATCGTTCCCCCTCACCTGCCTTTCTGTCAGCCTTTTCCCTGCTTAAGGTATGAATCAGTTCTAGATTATGCTGGTGCCTCCTTAATATTTTTTTTCTTACTCCATTTATATTTTTTATTTGTATTTATCAAGGTCAGAAACATTATACCACAAGGTTGCCCTGATTCTGAAAACATTTTCCATTCTTTGTCCCCTATTTTATTTGTCTCATAGCTAATGATTTCTCTAAGAAGTGACAAACTTGTCTTTTTTCTCACCTCCAATTTGTTGTCTGAGGCTTCACTGGGAAGCCATGAAGACCTTTGATTCTGGACAGAAATACTATACCAGTTATCCTGAATCTAACTAGAAAAAGTGAAAAGAAAAAGAATGCATTAACATTGTCATCCAGCTCAGTCACCTTGGGTAACTATGAGACTAATACAATGTATTTAATCTCTTCTCCCTGTAGAGAGCTGATCTTTGTATGAAATCCTACTTCATCTTCCCAGGTATGTTCTCAAGGACATTAAGCTGTCCATGCTGGAAAAATACCAACTAGAAATGTGTGCTAGTAATGTTTTAGCCTAGATAATTTTTACATAAATTTTACATAAATTGTTAGTAGCATATGTAAAGATAAAGAGTAAAGTGTAAATGTAAGTAGAACTAAAAATATAGTCAATCAAGAGTGAAACCAAATGTTGCTGACTCAAAACCTTATGTTCCTCCAACTTACTAGTTGTGATTTCCTACACAAATAAAGTCTGATTGGATAGCTTCTTCCAGATTGCCCCATTTTGACCAACTTCTCAAAGAAGTACAAAGTGGAACTTGAATATTCTGTGTGGGCATTTTTAAAAATTTATTTCACATACAAACACATACACACATACTTTCTATGTTTAAAATCTGAAATGAGAAAAATATTCCTTTGTGGTCACTTTTGGGTTTGACTTTCTCAATATACAGAAAAACATCATCTAGTTTCCTCAACTGTAAAACAGGGTTAGTATTCATAGTGTTGTGCCAAATACAGTCATGAACTGGATAATGATATTTTGGTCAATGACAGAACAAATACACTACAGTGATCCCATACTATTATAATGGAGCTAGAAATTTTCTATCACTTAGTGATGTTGTAGCTGTCTTAATCTCATAGGGCAATGCATTACTCACATGTTTGTGGTGATGGGGTGTAAACCTACTACACTATCAGTCATATATAAAAGTACAGCACACACAATTGTGTACAGTACTCAATGCTTGATAATGACAATAAATGACTGTTACTGGTTTATGTATTTACTATACTATACATCTAGCATTATTTTAGAGTATATTCCTTTTACTTATTAAAAAATGTTAACTATAAAATAGCCTCAGACAAGTCCTTCAGGAGGTATTCCAGAAGAAGGCAGTGTTATCATAGGATATGACAACTCCACGTGTGTTACTGATCCCGAAGACCTTCAAATGGGACGAGATGTGGAGGTGGAAAACAGTGATACTGATGATTCTGACCCTGTGTAAACTCAGGTAGTTGAATGTGTTTGTGTGTTAGATTTTACAGAAGTGTTTTAAAATAAAAAATAAAACTTCAATATTGAAAAAAGCTTATAGAAGAAGGATATAAGGAAATAAAACATTTGTTTATTTCTATAAACCATGTTTAGGTTTTAAGCTAAGTGTTATTACAAAAGAAAAAACAAATTAAAAAGAAATAAAAAATTTCTATAGAAAAATGTTATAGTAAGCTAAGGTTAATAAAAAAATTTAAAACAAATTTAATGTAGCCTAAGTGTTCAGTGTTTATAAGGTCTGCAGTAGTGTACAGCAATGTTCTAGGCCTTCATATTCACTCACCACTCACTCACTGACTCACCAAGAGCAACTTTCTGTCCTGCAAGTTCCATTCATGATAAGCGCCCTATACAGGTGTGTCAATTTTTATCTCTTATGCTGTATTTTCACTACGCCTTTTCTATATTTAGATATGTTTAAATACATAAATACTTACCAGTGTGTTACAATTGTCTACAGTATTCAGTACAGTAACATGCTGTATACGTTTGTGGCCAAGGAGCAATGGGCTATACCCAATAGCCTAGGTGTGTAGTAGTCTATACCATGTAGGTTTGTGTAAATACTCTATGATGTTTGCCAAAGACAGAATTGCCTACTGACGCATTTCTTACAAAGTACCCCTGTCATCAAATCGGGCATGACTGTATGTGCAAAGCCCAAAAAACAGGGACTTGTACACAGATATGCTATGTAAAAGGTTAGTTATTGTCATTATTACCATCATCATTATCAGTGGGTTTATATTTCCTTGTTCCGTATGATGTCTCCACAGCGTTTGAAGAAAATGAGATGGCGAGTTGGATCTGTCACCGCCACCGCTGCCGCCCCCGCCCCGGGAGCCGCCAGGACCCTCGGGTTGCTGCCAGCGCGGGCCAGATCCCCGCACCATGCGGTCGGAGAAGACCTTCAAGCAGCGCCGCACCTTCCAACGAAGAGCAGAAGATGTCCGACTCATTCTAGCGCAGCATCCAACCAAAATCCCAGGGATAATAGAAGGATATAAGGGTGAGAAGCAGCTTCCTGTCCTGAATAAAAGGTTCCTTGTACCTGACCAGGTCAACATGAGTGAGCACATCAAGATAATTACAAAGCGCTTACATCTCAATGCTACTCAAGCCTTCCTCCTGTTGGTGAACGGACACAGCATGGTGAGCGTCTCCACACCAATCTCAGAGGCGTATGAGAGTGAGAAGTATGAAGATGGATTCCTGTATATGGTCTATGTCTCTCCCAGGAGACATTTGGGATGAAACTGTCGGTGTAAAACTAGAAAAATTCATCTATTCTATAATTTTTTCAACGCTTACCACGGAAGAAAAAGGGATGTTGCCAACTGAGATCGATCAGTTCATCTCATCACAGATCAGCAAACAGTAGTGTTCCCACCTAGGAGTGTTAGGAAATTGTGTTTGTACTTCAAGCAGAAAAACTAAGCTGTAAGTGAGCACGTTCAGCTTTGGAAACTATGTTATTTAATGTAGGTTAGCTGTTTTCAAATTTTAAAAGTTTAAAAATAAAACTTTGCATAAAAAGAAAAAAAGGAAGGAAGGAAAGAAGAAAGAAAGAAAGAGACAGAGAGAGAGAAAGGAAGGAAGGAAGGAAGGAAGGAAGGAAGAAGGAAGGAAGGAAGGAAGGAAAGAAAGAAAGAAAGAAAGAAAGAAAGAAAGAAAGAAAGAAGAAAGAAAGAAAGAAAGAAAGAAAGAAAGAAAGAAAGAAAGAAAGAAAGAAAAAGAAAGAGAAAGAAAGAAAAAGAAAATGAGATGTAGTCTCTTCCCCTGCCTTCGTGATTAGGGAAGAGCATGCTGATGTGGAAGTGAGACACAGAGCATTACAGAGGGAAAACTTCCCTAGAGAATCTCCTGGACCTGCTGTGCACTGCACACATGAAAATAAACTTTTATATATTGCTGAGATTTGGAAGTTATTATTACTACATAACTTAGAATTTCTGACTAATAAATGATTTTATTAGCAATGAAATATAGCTTCTTAATAAGTGACTACAGCCTTTGCCAGTTTCAAGCTATGTGTCCCTAGGAACCTCTGTATTGCCCTAATTTTTATCTATTAAAAAGAAAGTGAGACTATTATTGTAAAGGATTAATATGACAGTAATATAAACTTTACAGAAATGTAATATGATAGGATGCTTCACATACAGGAACCCCTTATCAGTTATTACTATTTTTAATATTAAATTTGTTATTTTTAGATGAACTAAATACAACATAGGCCTTTTGATAACCAGTACATATAGTGGAGAATTCAGTTAAAACTTTTTGAAAACACAATCTTAACTGTATCTTGTGGGATTTGGTAGGGTTCTAAATTGGAATAATTTCTATGGAGTAAAATTTGACAATATCTATGTACAATAGATATACAATTCTTTGTACAATGTCTATGTACATACATAGATATTCATTGAAACATTGTTTGTAATAGCATAGGAAAAAACAAGTAAGCCTAAATAGCTATCAACAGGGAATTGGTCTATGAAATAATGATAAATGCACATATTAAAACACTATCAGCCATTTTAAAGATAAGGTTATTCATACATAATAATACGGAAGGATCTCAAAAGATATATTGTTGAGTAAGAAAGGTAAGGTGTGGAACAAGGTATAATACAGTGCTATTTATATGAGCAAAAGGTATACATGCCCAGAAGGTCTTTGAGGCTAGAGGATGCACAAGTGACTGATAACACCATTGCTGTGGAAATAAGTTGTGTTTTGAGAAAAGTAATTAAGTGAAGGATGTATTTTTTATTGTATTTCATAAGGCAGGTTTTTTTTTCATTTTTACTGTACAAACATATCACCTATAAACAAAATAGACAAAAGGAAAAATGATCCATCAGACATACTTTGTCATTAAACAGTTCTGTTTTTAAAGGGTTATTTATGGGTAAGTGAATTGAGTGACATTGACACAAGGTTTTTGATATACTTGAGGGTGATTTTGATATAAAATCACAATTAAAAGACAATTTAGAAGAATTATTTTTCAAGTTTAAAACTAAATATTAAAATCATTAAACTTAAAAAATATTTTTCTGTGCCTTTAACTCATTCTACAAATTTTTTATTCTATACATAAATTTATTGGATTTGAATAATGATTTCTAAGGGGGCTTTAAGGAATAGTTAGTCTTGTTTCCAGATTTAATTACATATTTCAAATTTTAAACAATAAGGTTCTAAAGTTATTATATTAGATTTCTTTTTAACATATTTCAGTTCTCTAGCAACAACAACAACAAACTTCCTAAATATTTAAACTTCTCTTATATGTCTAATAGATCAAACTTAAATTACTAATTAAACTTTTAGTTTGGCTTCAAGTTTGTAGTCTAGATCAATTACTCAATTACCTATTTTTCAACTGTCTTTAAAAGACTATCACTTTAATAATCAAACTGTCTTAAACAATATTTTTACAAGAATACCATATATTGCATTGAAGTAGAATTAAGAGCAAATTGAATATTTTACATCTGCAGAAAGGTGAAGTAACTTCACTCAATTCATATAATTAGATGAAGCAAAATCGGATTCAGGTTTGTCTGATTCTAATTTCTATAACATTTACACTATGCTACCTGCCTTTTCTGATAATAGCAGAAGCTGACAAAAAAGAATTGTATTAACTCATGTATTCATATGTTCAAGGAATAGGAATAGCTTCAAGTGTAATTGGATAATGGGGCTCAAAAGATATCTTCAGCATCCAGTTTTACCCACATTCTTTTGCGTCTCTGTTTCCATTGTGTTGGCTTCATTTTTAGCTGCAGAAACAAGCCTTGCATCTACCTATCATTTAATCAAATGCTGGTGTTTAATTTGTCTGAGTTTTCCCAGCAAAGACTGCATCACTGTCTCTTGCTCTATTTTGGCATTATCCACATCTCTGAAATATAGCCAGTGAGATAAACTATACAGATTCACATAGGTAAATCCAGGCAGGGTAACCTTTGGAATGAGAGGGTTCTATTTTACCAAATCCTATGTGTTGAGAGTGCCAGTGTGTTTTTCTACAATAGAAATGTTAGGTTTTAGGAGGTGCAAATAGGGGGACAGCTGAAATTTGCAAAGGAGATTCTGAAGTGGATTCTGCCCTACATCCACTATATCTGTCATTTGAAAACTTGTCAGAATTATAGAATCACCTATTAATGTTAAAATGTTTGCTTTAAGTTTAATAAACGAATGCCTTTAGTGTGATCTGATTAGCTGTGGGTGGGAGGTGTGAGCTAGTGGCCTATACTGGGGCAATCCAAGTTTTCCAGAGTAAATGACGGTTGATTGGCAGAGAGCTGGTTTGAAGAATCTTAAAAGAGAGAACTGGACTGTATGAAAGATGCAATAAAATTTAGTCACGTGACATTTGGTTATGGAGAAGTCTCTCGGCAGATAGTCAAACCCCAGTTAAGCAGCTAAGTATTGAATCAAAGCTAGGAGATTGTGATACTAAGAATATTAAGTAGGCATGGCCAGTGTTGACGGAATTGGACTTCTTGGCATACAGTTAAGACAGAGACTAAGGACAAAGTTCTAGGAACCAAAGCTCTATGAGGCAGTGACCAAGAATTGGCTTGACACCAAAGCAGACTTCACAGCTAGATTGGAAGCAGCAGATTTTATAAAAATGAGAAGTTGGGTTTTAACTTAAGATTCTCCTACCTAAGGTAAGTAACAGTTCTAATAAAAGTGGCTCTAGGCAAGTGGCTTCAGACTTGAAGAGACGGCTCCAGAGAAGTAGAACCTGAAAGCTTCCAATCGAGGTGCCAGCTTAGAACATTGTTTTCCTTTCTTTTCCTAGAACACCGGCATACTTATATTTTATGTCCTCATAATTTAAATAATCAGCTGAATGTACATGGTTGTGTTCATGTGTTCTTGTGCAAATTACCCTTTTGACTATCAGCATAGGCAACAATAAATCAACTAAATAACATTGATGTTAAATAATTAATTTTCAGAATTTAAGAAATGTTAATGCATAAGTACAAGAATACCTGTAGTCGTACACAAATTACAGAGTACACAAATTTTGTACACAAATTAGATTAGTACACAAATTTGTGTACTAAGTTGTACACAAATTAGTCTAAAAATTAATTTAGTTTAAAAATTAATTCATTGTTGAAAATAACAAAGCTGATTCTATTCTTTAAAAAAAAGAAATCTGGCCAAAATTGCAGATACAGCTTGGAGCATCTTATAGTTGCAGAAGGTAAGAAAATTATTTTTTCACAAAAAACCCACAAGGATGCAGAGGGGATATGTCAAAGGGGCATAGGGGCCAATTGAAAGAGCTCCCAATGGCCCAAGCTGAAACAATTTAGATAGCAAAATAAATAAAGTATTACAAGATTATAAACCAAAGCATAAAATAATTATCCATGAATCTATTCTGATATAAAACACTGAATAAGCAAGTAACTAGGAGAGAATAGACAAATCTGTGAATCTGTGAAGAATTATAATAATTTATGTGGATACTATGCTCTCAAGCAGGTGTAGCATAACTTCCCATTTTTTAAGTGTTGGTGTACATAGTGACTTCCATCTAAACACTACAGTATGGGAAGGGGGGGAAGAGTAATTTGATAGTAGAGAAACTGACAAACGCTTCCTCAGCCAGGTGACTATGGTGTTTCTCCCAAGAACAAGTGACATCAAACTAATGAGAAAAGCAATTAATTGTGACAAATACACCACACTAGTAAGTTAATAATAGGGGAAAGTGTTAATAGGTGTGATGGTACATAGAAACTCTCTGTATTATCCTTGCAATTATTTTTATAAATCTAAAACTATTCTAAACTAAAAAGTTTATTTCTTTCAAAAATACATGAAAGCAACTTTTCACAGAAAACCACTAATTTTAAAAAAAAAAAAAAGAAAAAAAAAGCTCTGCCAAAAGAAGATGTTTACTCGCCAAACCAAATTCCTTGTTGGACCTAACTTTAAATTTAGCCCTTATTTTATTATTCAGTATTTAAATGATATAATTTGACACTTATGACAACCAACTTTAAAAAAATTAGTTATTCTTTGGCACATAAAAATGACCCTGCCTTTATGAAAAAATATTTAAGGAGAAAAAAATACAATAGACACTGTCAAAATTTCTCTAAATCAATTAATTAAACTGAAAAATAGAGAAGCTTGAAGACTAAACCATTTTTTTCAAAAATTGGAAAAAAGTGATTTTATCTTACAGTACTGCAAATGCCTGCAAGTTTTTGACTAGGTTTCTTCTATATTTACATGCCTGTGAATTGCAATAGTTTCTTCCTCTTACGTACTAGCTTATTCTTCTAAGTGGTCCTAAAAACAATCTTAGTAATAACCATTAATCCTTGAAAAATTAAGGATCCCATGAACCTTAATTAAGGTATACCTACTTTAAATGTCCTCATACCTTACTCTTTTCTAGAACATTATTGTGCCGATGATTTTTAATATGTGTTAATTTTATAATTTTTGAAATTAATATTTTAGAACAATTTTATATTTACAGACATATTGCTAATTTAGTACATATATCTTGCTCCCAGTTTCCCCTACCTTTAACATTGTACATTATCATGATACATTTGTTACAATTAGTGAACCCATATTGATACATTATTAGTAACTAAAGTCCATACATTATTTAGATTTTCTTAGGTTTTACCTAGTGTTTTTTTCTTTACCAGGATTCCATCCAAAGTCCATTACATTTTCCTTGGATATCATCATGTTTTCTTTGGCTCATCATTTTTGTTTTTATTAAATTGATGGTTTTAAAAAACAGCTTTACTGAGGTATAATTTATATGTTAAAAACTGCACATATATAATGTATAAAATTTGATGAGTTAGGACTTGCACATATATTGTGAAACCACCACCATAATCAAGGGAATAAGCATATCTATTACCTCCAAAAATTTCCTCCTGCCCCTTGTTTTGTTTTGTATATGCATGTGTATGTGGTAACAGAACTCAACATGAGTTCTACCTTCTTAAGTTATTATTAAAGTGCACAATATAGTGCAGTATTCTAATTATAGTCACTATATTGTACAGCAGATATTTAGAACTTATTCACTTGCATAACTGAAACTTTATTGAAGAACAACTCCCCATTTCCACCCAGCCTCGAAACTATCATGCTGTGTTCTACTTCTGAGTTTGAATATTTCATTTTAGATTTTTTTTTGCTTTGTTCTGTTTATTTTTTTGATAGGAGAGGAGGAGGTAAAAACAAAAATTGGGTTTGTACTCCAAAGACTTTTCCCAAAGATTGGTGATTCATTTCCTTTTCACATTATCATGGATGAACACTTATCCTTGCTTTCAGGATGGTTTGAATTCAAGGTAATGTGTTTAATATGTGTTTTTCTGAAATCCAGTGTATTCACTGGATTCAGGAAAGAACACAGGGTGTTCTTTGTGTTCTTGTTCTTATATGAAAGGAATTGGCACTTCAGCTTCAGAACAAATTTTAAAATCACAAATCCAATTTGTCTGTGATTTGGATCTACGCTAATTACTAAGGCACCATTCAGCAATATTGGCTTCAAACATTTAAATACCCTGTGAAACTGCAATTAATTAAGGGTCTGCTGATTCTAAAAGCTATACAATGAATAAGGAATGAGGGAAGAATTATAAATCTGAATGCTAAGTTGAGAGCAAAATGTCAATAATCTCCTCACTTTTGCAGTATCTATAAATAGAGAGAGTGGATAGGAATTATATGGATAACATTAAATAAAAAGTACATAAAAACTTGGAAGTTATTTTTCATTAAATTTGCCGTATATTACAGTTCAATAAAATGCCTGTGAGGAAAATAACTACTTAAGGATGAAGACTAGTTACATTGTTGCTATTCAGAATTTTTGAGAGTGAAAGACAGAATATTGGTCAACTTTCCTGGTTTAAACTTACATGTTTTAAAACGTGATTTTGTAACTTAAACATCTGTGTTATGTCTTAAAAATTTAACATGAGTTCTACCTTCTTAATTATTAAATTGCATAATATAGTACAGTAGTATAATTATAGGTGCTCTACTGTGCAGCAATACAGTACAGTATTTGTGCTTAATATTATTAAAGGACAAATTAAAATTATAGAAAGTAAAAAATGTCATAACACATCTAAATAGACATTTGTTTGTAGTTTTTTTTAATACAAAAACCTTTTTCCATATACTATAAAAATTCCCTTTTTGTGGGCACAGCCGTGATGGTAATGAGAAGCTGGTTGGTACCCAGAACTTATACAAATTCTATAAGTGGGAAACTTATTCTTTCCATTTGGATTAACTCTTACTTTTTTTAAGTAAAATTTTTATTTTTATTTAGCTTTTCTCTACCAATTTCTGTGGTATATTTGTAGCCTCTTTCCATGTATCTGGAGTGATAATAGTACCAAGTTTCTATTCATATTTTTCATGCACCATTCTTTCACCAAAGGCTTCCTTCATCACAGAAGCAGCAGCAGCTTGAAGACAGTAACTGAGTTTAGCTATTTTAGATGGCTTATACAAATGGAATCATGTCCTTCAGTCACTGGCTTGTTTTACTTAGCATAGGGTCCCCCAGATGCATTCATGTTGTTGCATATGGCAGGATTTCTTTCTTTTTTAAGACTGAATAATTTTCCATTTTATGTATATATATATATGTATATATATATATGTATATATATGTATATATATGTGTATATATATATACACACACACATATATATTCACACACATACACATATACATAAAGAAAATGTGATATATATATTTTCTTTATTCATCTGTCAGTGTGCAGTTAGTTTGTTTCTATATTTGACTATTGTACATAATGCTGCAATGAAGATAGAAGGGCAGATCTCTTCGAGGTCCTGGTTTCAATTCTTTTTGATATATACTCAGAACTGGGATTGCTGGATCATATGGTAGTTCTATTTTTAATTTTTTGAGGAAACTCCATATTGTTTTCATAGTGGCTGTACCATATTACATTCCCACAACAGCGTACAAGGGTCTCAATTTCTCCATATTCTCACCAACACTTACCTTTTGTTTTTTGGTAATAACCATACTAATAGGTGTGAGGTGATATTGTAATTTTGATTTTCATTTCTCTGATAATTAGTGATATTGAACACGTTTCATATACCTGTTGGCCATTTTGCAGATAACATGATTTTTTTAATTTTTAAATTTATTTCTATAGTTTTTTTTTAACCTTTAAGTTCAGGGGTACAAGTGTAGGTTCACTACATAGGTAAACTTGTGCCATAGGGGTTTGTTATACAGATTGTTTCATCACCCAGGTATGAAGCCTAGTACCCTTTAGTTGTTTTTCCTGATCCTCTCCCACCACCCTGCAAAAGGCTCCAGTGTGTGTTGTTCCACCCTATGTGTCCATGAGTTCTCATCATTTAGCTCCCATTTATATGTGAGAACATGCCATATTTTATGTGTAGAAAACCTTAAAGCCTCAACAAACGAACTGTTAGAACTAATGAATGAATTCAGTAAACTGCAGTACAAAATCAACATACAAAAATCGGTTGTGTTTTTTACACTAACAACAAACTATTTGACAAGGACATTAATAAAACAATCGCATTTTCAATAGCATCAAAGAGAATAAAATACTTAGGGATAAATTTAATCTAAGAGGTAAAAGGTTAGCACACTGAAAGCAATAAAACATTGATAAAAAAATTAAAGAAGACATAAATAAATGAAAACATTCTGCATCCAAGAATTGGAGACTTAATATTATTAAACGGTTCATTCTACCCAAAGTGATTGATACGGTTTGGCTGTGTCCTCACCCAAATCTCAACTTCAATTGTATCTCCCAGATTTCCCATGTGTTATGGGAGGGACTTGGAGGGAGGTAATTGAATCATGGGGGCTGCTCTTTCCCCTCCTATCTCGTGAGATCTGATGGGTTTATCAGGGGTTTGTGCTTTTGCTTCTTCCTCATTTTCTCTTGCCATTGCCATGTAAGAAGTGCCTTTCATCTCCTGCCACAAGGCGGAGGCCTCCCCAGCCGCGTGGAACTGACAGTCCAATTAAACCTCTTTTCTCTTTTTCTTCCCAGTCTCGGGTATGTCTTTATCAGCAGCATGAAAACAGACTAATACAGCAAATTGGTACCAGCAGAGTAGGGTGATGCTGAAAAGATACCCAAAAATGTGGAAGTAACTTTGGAACAGCGTAATAGGCAGAGGTTGGAACAGTTTGGAGGGTTCAGAAGAAGACAGAAAAATATGGGAAAGTTTGGAACTTCCTAGAGGCCTGTTGAATGGCTTTGACGAAAGTGCTGATAGTGATATGAACAAGAAGGTCCAGGCTGAGGTAGTCTCAGATGGAGATGAGAAACTTGCTGGGAACTGGAGCAAAGGTTACCCTTGATATGTTTTAGCAAAGAGACTGGCACATTTTGCCCCTGCCCTAGAAAATTGTAATACTTTGAACTTGAGAGAAATGATTTAAGGTATCTGGCAGAAGCAATTTCTAAGCAGCAAAACATTCAAAAGGAGACTTGGATGCTATTAAAAGCATTCCATTTTAAAAGGGAAACAGCATAAAAGTTCAGAAAACTTGCAGCCTGACGATGCAGTAGAAAAGAAAAACTCAAGCTGGCTGCAGAAATTTGCACAAGTACCAAAGAGCCTAATGTTAATCCCCAAGACCATGGGGAAAATGTCTCCAGGCCATGTAAGCAACCTCCATAGCAGCCCCTCCCATCACAGGCCTGGAGCCCTAGGAGGAAAAAGTGGTTTCGTAGGCTGGGCCCAGGGGCTTTGTGCAGTCTAGGGACTTGATGCACTGTGTCCCAGCAGCTCCAGCCATGGCTGAAAGGGGCCAATGTAGAGCTCAGGCTGTGACTTCAGAGGGTGGAAGCCCTAAGCCTTTGAAACTTTCACATGAGCCTGTGAGTACACAGAAGTCAAGAATTGAGGTTTGGAACCTCCATCTAGATTTCAGAAGATGTATGGAAAAACCAGAATGCCCAGGCAAAAGTTTGCTGTAAGAGCAGGGCGCTCATGGAGAACCTTGGCTAGGGCAGTGGGGAAGGGAAATGTGGGATCAGAGCCCCCACATAGAGTCCCTACTGGGACATCATCTAGGGGAGCTGTGAGAAGAGGCCCACCGTCATCCAGACCCCAGAATGATAGATCCACTGACAGCTTGCACTGTGTGATGGAAAAGCCACAGACACTCAACACCAGCAGGTGAAAGCAGCCAGGAGGGAGGCTGTACCCTGCAAAGCCCCAGGGGTGGAGCTTCCCAAGACCGTGGGGGATAATGTCTTGCATCAGCGTGACCTGGATGTGATATCTGCAGTCAAAAGAGATCATTTTGGAGCTTTAAAAATTTGACTGTCTCACTGGATTTCAGACTTGCATGGGCCCTGTAACCCCTTTGTTTTGGCCAATTTCTCCCATTTGGAATGGCTGTATTTACCCAATGCCTGTACCCCCATTGTATCTAGGAAGTAACTAACTTGCTTTTGATTTTACATGCTCATAGGTGGAAAAGACTTGCCTTGTCTCAGATGAGACTTTGGGCTGCAGATTTTTGGGTTAATGCTGAAATGAGTTAAGACTTTGGGGGACTGTTGGGAAGGAATGATTGGTTTTGAAATGTGAGGACATGAAATTTGGAGGGGTCAGGGGCAGAATGATATGGTTTGACTATGTCCCCACCCAAATCTCAACTTGAATTGTATCTCCTAGAATTCCCACGTGTTGTGGGAGGGACTCAGGGGGAGGTAATTGAGTCGTGGGGGGCTGGTCTTTCTTGTGCTATTCTCATGATAGTGAGATGTCTGATGGGTTTATCAGGGGTTTCTTCTTTTACTTCTTCCTCATTTTCTCTTGCTGCTACCATGTAAGAAGTGACTTTCACCTCCTACCATGATTCTGAAGCCTCCCCAGCCATGCATAACTGTAAGTCCAATTAAACATCATTTCTTTTTCTTCCCAGTATCAGGTATGTCTGTATCAGCAGTATGAAAACAGACTAATAAAGTGATCTACAGATTTAATACTGTACCCATCAAAATCTCAATGACATATTTTTTACAAAAATATAAAAAAGATCTTAAACTTCCCATGGAACCACAAAAGTCCCTAAATAGCCAAAACAATTTTGAGAAAAAAAAAGAACAAAACTGGAGGTATCACATTTACCACTTTCAAAAATACACTACAAAGCTACAGTAATTAAAACAGTATGATTTTAGCATAAAGACAGACATATAGGCCAACAGAACAAAATAGAATAGAGAGCCCAGAAATAAACTCACACATACGTGTGTGGTCAACTGTTCTTCAACAAAGTTACCTAGAATACATAATGGGAGAAGATTCTTTTTTCAATAAACAGTGTTGAGAAAGCCTGATATCCACAGGTAAATGAATGAATTGGACTCTTATTTTAAACCATATATAAAAATTAACTCCAAATGGATTAAATATTAATGCTTAAATGTAAGACTAGAAACTAGAAAACTCCTAGAGGAAAGCTTAGAGGAAAAGCTTCACAATATTGGTCTTGTCAATAATTTTCTAACTATGACACCAAAAACACAGACAACAAAAGAAAAAAAATAGGTAATTATGACTACATCAAACTAAAAACCTTCTGCAGAGCAAAGAAAAAAAATCGACAGACTGAAACGGCAACCTATATAATGTAAGAAAATAATTGTAAAACAAGTATCTGATAAGAGTTTAATTTTTTAAATAAAGAAATCCTACAACTCAACAGCAGAAAAAAAACAGATTTGAAAATGGGCAAAGATTTGAATAGATATTCCTTCAAAGAACACAAATAAATGATCAACATGTATATGAAAAGGTGCTTGACAGTTTTAAGTAATCCTAATCCGACATTTTGTAGAGTGTCTCTCAATTGGGATTAGACTTACTTTGTTTGTTTGTTTGTTTTCATAAATTATCTGGTGTTATCTGTTCTTAGAAAGAAGACCACAGAAGCAAAGTGCCACTTTTATCACATCATACCAAGGGTAAATATTATCAGTTTGAGTTTTCTTTGTTGATTGTATCCTTAGTCACCTGCCTGAGGTGGTATTTCTCAGGTTTCTTCATAGTAACGTTCTTCTTTTTCTCATTTCCATACTGTATTCTTTAGATGGAAGTCACCATGTGCAGCTCACACTTGAAGGGTGAAGTTTATGCTCCACCTCCTTGAGGGTGGCTGCTAACTGTTGGTTATTTATTAATTCATTCAAATATGTTTGTTGAAACTCTAGCATTATCTAGCATTGACTGGCATTGCACCTGGCACTAAGTTTAAAATGATGACCAAGACTGGCAGGAACTCTGCCTTGGTGGATCTGACATTTTTAGATAAATAATTCGTGGAATGTACTTTGATGACAAACCAAAGAGAGAAAGAAAATAAACACTACAGACATATGACAAAGAATCAGTGAGATATAATGGACTTGTGATTGGGCAGCCCAGTTCTGTTCTTAATTTTGCCACTTTATAAAGCATAAATTCTTTGCTTCTTAAAGGCGAGCTAACTTTTCTAGATGGGCCATGTCTGAAGAAAAGCCTCTTTCCCATTGCTCTGGTTTCCATAACAAAGAAATTTTCTCGAAAAAAAATCTCTGCCTTACCTTATTCCTTACAGCAGTGGAAAGAATTTTCTTGACAGTAGACGATAGTCATTAATTTAAGGTTTTTGATTTTATGGTACTAACTATAAATGGTTCTAAATGAGAGAGATTTGGTGTCATCCTATTTTTGTCCTACTCTGGACCAGCGTGAGGCAGCTGAACAGTGGCTGTAGGATTTATTTGGGCAAAATGTTGCACTGGGATCCACTATATTCCTCTCCTCTTTACTGAGACCTTGCTAAAAGCATCATCAGCAAACAGCATAGAAGCCTAGAATTCTGCCATCTAAATTCTGGGAAAGGAAATTCTTCTAATTTTATAAACTTTCTGGAAGAGGTAGAATGAACAAAATGGTTTGTAATTTGATTATTTTACACCAAGGCAGGGAGTGAGCAGTCCCCTTTGGGCTTCATGATATGTCCTCAATACTAATTTTATTAGAACTGCAGATGGTTTGACTTCTCTTCTGACTTTGTCTTACACTAAACTGGTTCCAAACTTCAATGAGAAAAGGGAGGTTTTATTCAGTCTTATGGATTGCTAATGGTAGCCTAAATATAAATATAAATTATCATAGTAACCATATAAATATAACTTAATATCATATTAATATCAAAACTTTTGAAACTAACAACCATAGATATTCTATGTCCATGCAGGGAATATTGAATTGTTACAACTTCTGGTACTATTCAAAATAATAATGAAATTCTCAACTTGTTTAAAGTTTTCAGCAAGCTTGCTAAGCTTTATAAAGTGGACTCTTACATATTCCTAATTGCCAATTATTTTTCCTCTCTTTCTGCCCAGTGCATATTCAATATAAAACTATGCTTTTAATTAACTCCTTCTCAGTAAATAGGTATTCAAATGCACATTTTGTGCATCAGAATCACAATTAAAGCTGTAGGGTTTGTTTTTGCAACGTTATTCTAATTAAAATACTTTTAGCTGTATTTGGCATGCATTAAAATGTCAAGTAATTGACAGCCCATAAGTGAAAAATTGATCCAATTATCAAGCCAACTAGGACTTTCTTTTTTTTCTTTTTCAACTGCTGAGATTTATCATGGCCATTAGAATTACAGATGTTTATATGTTTGCTTTTAGTAATGGGAATTCATTTAACTTTGCTATGCCCTCGGTGTTGTTTCTGCTCTTCAGTGGGATAGACAATTCGTCAATCTTTGAAGTGCACATTTAGAAAAAGCCTCCCAAATCTCTCTTCACATAGAGTAGATAATCACGCTTTCATTGGAGTTTAAGGAATAGATTTTTCTTTTCATGTCTCCAGATGGGCCTTTTGATAATGAGTCACAGAGGAACACAGCTTGTCCTGAGATATAGCTTCTACACAATGTGTGTGTGTTTTAAATTAATAACATACATCTTTAACGAATTAATTAATTTAAGTCACACAAATTGAGTAAAACAAAAGGAAATACAACAAATGTTATTTTCTAATTGCAGCCATTTGTTTTCTCTCTCCTGCAATGTAGTAAAAATATTTAATTTTCTCAATAAAAGTCAACCAAATAATCTCCCCATATATTAATTTTATATTTGCTTGAAAGATACTTAATTTAGAAAGATTACTAATTTAAAAAAATTGGGGTATTAATATTTACTCAATTATTTATATTGAATTTTTGGATCAGTATTATAGGGGTAGTAATATATATTGTTTATAAAGAATCTTTATCAATATCTATTAACCAATCAGAAAAAAAGTCATTTCAGAGTATAAATTACAGATATTAATTTATCTGGGTCTATAATTGATAAATACAATTGGAATAAATATCAGCTGATTTATTTGTTATGAATATCATAGACATATTTCAATGATTGCATTTAACACATTCTCAACAAATATATTTAAAACCTAAACAAGTTTTATCTTACTCAAGGTTTCAAAATAATATTATCTCTTAAAGTAAAGTCAAAGTCCTCAGCTTAATGGCTTGCGTTTTTCATCACTAGACCCTCTACTCATCCAAACACATTCCTGGGACTCCGGATCTAGACCACCCATTAACATCCCACATTCTTGATTAAGCTCACCTCTTTGCTTTTTCCTCTGCCATTTTCTTATTTTCCAGTTGTCTTCACTCTACCTGTTCACACTTCCAAGAAGACCAAGCTCAAAACTTACTTGCACCAAAAACATTTTTTATGAACCTATTTTAGGAGTAGTGCTTCTTTTAAACTTCACAGAAGTCTTACAGTGTGCTTCACTGTGAAAAATTGTATGTAAAGTCGATTTTCATTATTCATGGTAATTATGTTCTCTAAAGTCACCGTGAACACTGAATTAGCAATAATTGAATCATTGCTTCTTTGTGAAATAAAGACGAAATTGAGAGTTAGGTTTCTGGAAGCCTCTGGTACATAACATTGTCTTTAACCAATAAGTTGTAATCTTGTTTTATGTATGTTTCTGTTTTAAGACACATTATTGAATATATATTGTTGATTCATTATGCTGAATTCATGGATAACAACACTATACTTCGTGACTGAATGACATTTACCTCACACAGGTATTTTTTCCTAAGGCACATCAGAGCTGTTTCGACACTTAGGAACCTTAGACAACACTACAACACTAAGCTTGGGGGTTATTTTATCACGTTAGACAGTAAAATCACCAAGAAAAGGCAAACAAAATGAGAGTAACATGGTACTAAATGAACATTTTAAAAGGGCATGTTCTACCATATGAAAGCTGAAATAAGATGGCAAAGCAATGCCTTATTCAACCTCAGCCAGGATCATGTGCATTGGTCAACTAAAATTTTTCATCACAAGCAACATGCACATGATCCAAATGACAGTGAAAGCCTTGGGTATTGATTTGGATCTACAAATAGATTTTAATGAATAGGCAAATTCACAAAAATGAAACCCCTAAATAATGAGGATTACCTGTCTATTTCTTAGTTTCTTCCACATATTTTTTGTCTTCAATATGTTCCCCCTAACATTAATGAGAATCCATTGTGATACCTTCAATACATATTTGCTGAATGTGGAAATAAACCTGATTTTGACACAAATTGTATCACAAGTGTGAATATTACTATCCAAATATGTTGATTATGCAGTCTCTGGCCTTATCTGGAAACATGTAGTTAGAGGTCTCCAAGTAAAATTCATATAAAATGTAAAATTTACATATATAGGAATAAGCCTAATACTAACAAGTGATAATGTTAGAGGAAAGCAGAATATTGTATCAGTGTTGGTAATATAATCCTGGAGTAGCTTACAGGACGGTAATAGACAGGCAAGTATAGCAATAAAGCTCTGGAAATTATCTACATTTGTGTTATATTGGGCTTGCAATTAGGGCAGCTACAATATAAAAGAGTGGCTGTTTAAGAGAAATTTTTTTAAGAATCGATTTGAAACCTTTTAAGACAATTGTTTTCATATATTAGAAATAAAAATAATTTATATTCCAGTCTATATATAGCATATGATAGGATTTAAAGATTATTCTGCAAATATAGAAACATAACACGAACCAAGGCAACAAAAGAGAATAACATCAAAGCTGATTTTTATTACTAGTGAAAAACCATAATAATAATAAATGATATCTATTTTAAAAATTCAAAAAAGAGTTTTGCCTTAAAGAAAACGAATCACATTTAAAATTTTTTTAATCTTCTTGCTGAATTCCTTGATTTCTACATATGACTATGTCTTTGAGGAGTATAAATGGAAATAGCAGATGTTAGTAAAAACGACTATGACTTCACAAGCATCTCAAACAAAGCTAACAAAGTTCCCAAGTCCAAAATAATTGCTTATTTGTGTGAAAAAGACTCTGAATCACACATGCATCCTCCTCTCATCTGTATAAACTAAAATGATCCTTCATAGCTTGCTAAACATTCAAGAAGCTGCCAAATTGGAAAGGAAGTGGTTTTGCTTTAATTGGCCCACGTTTTGTGGGATTTTTGTTATCCTTAACTAAATGCAGTGGACAATTTTCATGAAACTAACTTTTTTAAGTCTCAATTATGTCACTTTCAAATTTGGCAAAACACTGTCTTGTTTCCTGTTTAATTAATGCATATGTTCAAATTGTTCATAGAAAAGATTTATATTTTCCTTCCTTTGGTAATTAATATATAGCACAATCTAATGACTGTAGTAGAATATTCCCCAACCTTCCCTATGCTGATATTGATATTAGCATAGCTGGTTTATAACATATCTGAAAAATAAGCTGATCTTTATTTCAACTGTTTCTCTGTCCATAGGGAGGAGCCATTGCCCTTCAGGACGAGAAGAAAACATGGTTATAGAGAAAGCTGTCTCTTTGTTTCTATTTCCATCTAGTATCAGGCCTTTATGGCTCTGGATCAAAATACATTCTAGAAAACATGGGTGTTTTACCTATCTTTGTGTTATTACAAACACTGTTCATCATAAGCAACTGTACAAAGCAGTTCCTTTTCAGTGGAGATGCCTCTGTCTCTAACATAATGTGTGGTACAGTAATATAACTATTTCAGAAATAAAAGAACCAAATTAAATTACATGGCTTTTGTATGTTTGTTGGTTTTTTAAAAAACTGAATAAAAATGTTCACTGGAAAACCATAGGCCAAATTGTCTTTAACTCTTTCTCAATTTTCAGATACTTCTTCAACTCTATAAATATGTAAGCATTAAATATGTTTAGATAAACTTTGTTAAAGCATTTAAATATTTGATGGGTTGCAATAATTATAACTGAAAAACATGAAATATTTGAGAGTCAGTCATATCCTTATTGACCATACAAAATCTAAAATTAAATTTAGTTTTATGTACTTACAATCAGTAATTACATGTTTGATATGATTACTTAGAAAATGATCTTTTGATCTTCTTGTGGAAAACCAGCTATTGTAAGAAACATGATGCAAAGAAATAAACAATGGTGCATAAAAGAAGAACAATGAATAAAGCCAATACAGAAAAATACTAATAAATTCAATACACAAATATTAAAACACTCAGGCCCAAGTTCTCCACAGAATTTAAAAGCAGTATCACTTGTTGAAGGGATAGACTTTTAGTTGGTCCATGAAGCAGCAATTAACAAAATAAATGTATTGTCAGTGATCTGCTTTGCAGTTCTTATTACTGTTAAGTTAAAATAAAAATTTTTAAAAACTTTCAATTTTAAAAGTGTGTCCATATTCTAATTTAGTAACTGATAAAATGCAATATTTATTCAGTGCCTACCATGTGCTAACTCACTAAGCTTTAAATTCATAATCACCTTTGACTCCTTGAATAAATCTATGAAGTAAAAAGTATTTATTTTATTATTATTATTATTTTATTTAGAGACAGAGCCTTGCTCTGTCACCCACGCTGGAGTGCAGTGGCACAATCTCAGCTCACTGCAAACTCTGCTTCCCAGTTTTAAGCAATTCTCCTGTCTCAGCCTCCGGATAGCTGGGATTACAGTTGCACACCACCACATCTAGCTAATTTTATTTTTTTCTTTTGGTATTTTTATTAGAGATGGAATTTCACCATATTGGCCAGGCTGTTTTCAAACTCCTGACCTCAGGTGATCCACCTGTCCCGGCCTCCCATATTGCTGGGATTACAGGCGTGAGCCACTCCGCCCAGCCTATTTTTATTTTATAGTCTTAAAAATTTCAGGTTTAGTGAGCACAAACAGTTTAAATAGAGGTATATGGAATTTTCAAATGTGGATTTATATTACTTCAAAGTTTGGACTGTACCCATTTGAAAGTATTTCTCCAATTAACTGCATCCAATCTTCAGTTCTCAGACTTCATATGAATTGACCTGTAAGGAAATTTGACAGTTGATCATTCTCTCTGGAAACACTTTTTTCACTTGACTTCTAGAAAACCACAATCTCCTATTTTACTCCCATCTTACTGACTTCCAGGAAGGCAAGGCTTTTGCCCATTTTATTCACTGCTAGACCATTAGCACATAGAGCTAAGTATAAGAAGCACATAAGTAGAAACCAAATGCAAGCCTTGAAATAAAAGCAATTTAAATTTAAAGAAAAAATGAAAATATAGTTCTTAAAAATTTTAACATTTAATAAAATAGTATATTAGTGAATCTTGAAAAATATATAGCTTTTATATATATATATATACCTTTCTGTATGAGAAAGGCTACTTAAATCAATTTTAGATTTTAATCGTTGTTTTAGTTAATGTACATATAGTAGATGGCATTGATGCAGAGCTATAGAAACTTGATACGCATTTTTCTCTAAAAGAAAACATTCATTTACTAATAGATGGGTCCTGAAAACCTACTATCCTAGGCTCTGTGAATATGGCACAGGCCAGCATTGGCAAGGCTATTGTAGATTGGGTAGTCAAAAAGAAATGTATGAAGAAGCTTCATCTGAACAAAGACTTTACTGATGAAAAGGTCACTGCCCTGGGTATAACTGAGAAATGAGTGTTCTAGGGAACATCAAGTGTGAAATCCCAGATAGGATTTAGTAATGAATTTGCTAGCAGAAGAGGGAAGAGAAAAAGGGCAGTCAACTGCCTGAGTCACCAGCTCAGTGGGCTTTGTGGCTGTGCAATTAAAATAATGTTGAAGCCACTAACGAAATATGATAGACTAGCTGAGATGCAGGGTTAGGACAAAAGTTAAAATTCAAAATAAGTTAATTTTGAGATGCTTAAATAAGTCTCTATTTCAATGTATGTGTGTGAGGCATAGACAGATAGGGATAAAGATATAAATATATACAATTGGGTATCAATGGCAGAGAGATGATGTTGAAAGCCATGTGACTGAATGAGATCACCAGAGAGACCATACAGATAAAACGTACAAGGAGACAGACGATGATTGAGCCCTGGGACAGGTAACATTTAATAGCTATCATGTAGTGTTATAGTGTTATTTTGAGGAGGATTTTGTTTACTGTAAAAGTGCCACAAACTGAAGCAACCACTAAAAATATTTTTTAAAAAAAGTGTAATTGATATACTAAGAGAGGAGAGAAAATAAAAGTATGTAAAATGATCAATGAAAACCAAAGAAGAAGAAAGCGGAAGACAAAACAGAGAAAAACAACAAAGACAATGAATAGAAAACAGTATCAAATACGGTAGATATTTATTCAACTATATTAATAACCATTTTAAAGATAAATAGCCTAAATACTAATTAAAATAGACTATAAGAATGGGTTTAAAAAAACCACAACCCAGCTATTTGTAATCTACAAGAAACCCACTTGAAATATAAAAACACATAGATCTTAAAAAGTAAAGGGAGAAAGATGAACTATGCTATGCTATCACTAATCAAAAGAAAGCTAGAGTAGCTGTATTAATTTCAGACAAAGCAAACAAGAAAAATGTTCAAGAATGAAAAGGGGCATTATGTAATAATAATGAGGTCAATTATCCCAGAAGATACAACAATCCTTAATGAGTATGCACCAAACAACAGATTGTCAAAATACCTGAGGCAAAAACAGATAGAACTTCCGGGCAAGTCAGCACACGCCTGCAATCCCAGCACTTTAGGAGACCGAGGTGGGCAGATTACAAGGTCAAGAGTTCAAGACCAGCCTGGCCAACACGGTGAAACCCCATCTCTACTAAAAATACAAAAATTAGCTGAGCGTGGTGGCACGCACCTGTAATTCCAGCTACTCGGGAGGCTGAGTTGGGAAAATTGCTTAAACCCGGGAGGTGGAGGTTGCAGTTAGACAAGATCGTACCACTGTACCCCAGTCTGAGCCACAGAGCAAGATTCCATCTCAGAAAAACAACAACAACAACAAAACCAGAACTACAAGGAGAAATAGATGAACACTGTATTAGAAAAAAATAAAAAAGAAAAGTCTAAAATTAATAATATAAACTTCCATCTCAAAAGGAGGAGAGCCATATAATTCCAAAGTATAAGAAATTACAAAATAAAAATTAGGACAGAAATTTATAAAATTGAAAACAGAAAATCTATAGAGAAAATCAATAAAAGTAAACACTGCTTCTTTGAAAAGATCATTAAGTTTAATAAGCATCTAGCCAGATTAACTAGGGAAAAGGAGAGAAGACACATTACTAATATGGGAAGTGAAAGAAGAGCCATCAGTACTGTTTCCATGAATATTAAAAAGATGTTAAATGAATATTATGAACAACTCTATGCCCACAAATTTGATAACAGAGATGAAATTAACCAATTTTTAAAAAAGATACACTGTACCAAAATTCAAAAATAAATGGATAATTTCAACAGGCCTGTATCTATTAAATACATTTAACTCATGATTAATAACCTTCCAAAACAGAAAACACCAGGCTCAGAATGTTCACTGATGAATTCTACTAAACATGGAGATGTTGTGGGGAAATAAGAGGTGAAATTTTAAAGGCACCAATATAATTTTTAAATGAATATTGTCATTCATGTCACGTGGACCTAGAGAAAATTCAGAACACATTACAAAGAGATGAGAGTGTGGGAACCAATAATAGAAATTAAGAGAAGTGCATAAAATACATATCAATATTTACTGAATATGTGAAAGTGGGAATGGGGAAATGGTGATAGTGGTAATATGACAGAGACAAAGGCAGAGAACTTTCCAAAATGGAAGACCATCATGAGTCTCAGGATTTATAAAAGTATATGAAATACCAACCAGGATACATTTTTAAAAACCTATAGGCAATCATCTGGTATAACATTATAGAGAACAATATGACCTTAAAAACAACCAGATAGAAAAGAAAGATTATCTACTTAACAATCAGATTGACAGGAGATTTCTCATCAACAACTATAAACTCCAGAAGCCAAGAGAATAATTAGTGCAATGAAGTAAGTGAAAAATATTCCTGTAAAACAACCTTTATTATAGAATTCTATAGTTAGTGAAGCAAATTTTTTAAGAGAAAGGTGAAATAAAGTCATTTCACTCCAACAAAGGTAATCAGAATTTATGCTTAATAGTCACTGACTGAACAACCCTAAATACTTAATCAGGGCATGTCAAGGAATAGGTGTACTTTCACTAATCTGTCTGAGAATCTATCAGTACTTTCATCTGCATTTTAACTTCCTGGTCAGTTTTCTTCAGTGATGCCTTTGTTTATAATCATTTTGAATGCTCAGGTATATATGTATTTACATCTAACATGCATGAATAGATGCTTATGCACTAATCTACTTGTGTCTTCCTTTCAGTAAATGGTATAATTTACATTTATCATTTATATCACTATTTCATCACATTAAAACTGGCTTTGTTTTCTGACCACTCGAGGTTAGGAACCTGTTGTGCTGGAGGGCCTGAGATGTTCCCATACTGCTGACCACAACACTCCAAAGAGTGGTGCCAGACAAAGCATTTCATCTGGTGGTGGCAGCAGGATCTGTGCTCATTTGCTCATGTCAGCAGTAGTGGCAGCATGGTAAAGTGCATGCTTGTCAACTGGGGCAGGGCACTGGTGGGTGTGGGGTTCCTGGTCTCCATGCAGGCTTTGGCAGTGGTGGCAGTGGTGGTGCAGGAGTGGAAATTGGGGACAGGGCCACTGGCTTCTGTGTGCACATTTTCATCCACAGTGGTGTTGGTGTGGGCATGGAGCACTGGGGTGGGGTGAGAGGCTGGCTACCTCCACGCATATTTTTACATCAGTGGCAGTGGTGTCATGGGGCAGAGGGCGGGGCTGCTAAGAACTCTTAACACTTGCCTAAATAGGGAGTCTGCCATTTCTCACTGTTGTACTGAAACATTATAGTCTTTCAAATTGCAGTTAAAATGGAGTATTACGAACTCAAAACAGGAGCTTAAAAATGTCTCTGACTACTTCAATGCCACCTGACATAAAGAGGAAGTCAGAGTGGAAAGAGACAATGGTTTCAACCAAATGTAATTAAAATATGGGTTTTTTTGGCAAGTTTTACAAAAATACTTGATCATGCAAATACATGTCAGGGATGCTCTCAGTCTCTTGGAAGAAAACTGTGCAAGTAAGAAGCACAGAATTTTAAGCTTAAGTTTGTAAATCTGTCTTTAGTCAAGATTGTGTGATTTTCCTGGTTATGTTACAGTTTTATTGATTTTCGCATAGAATCTTCGCAGGTTCATAAGACATATAATATCTCTCTACATTTTTACTTCGTAAAAATTTATAGAAAGAATCTCTCTCTCTCTCTCTCTCTCTCTCTCTCTGTCTCTATCCCCCACCCAAGGAATTTCCCTCTACAGTTAGAAAGTAAGATTTCTCAAAGACTGCAGAATCTACTTCTGTAGCTTAGATAAAAGGTGATAAACAAAGGAAAGAAAATTAGCTCATGAAAAAGGAAGGACAAATAACGCTGTCCAAACTCAAATTAAAATAAATTTCATCATGAAATAATTATATAATTGATACTGTAGCTCTTTTGGAAACAATTGTCTGTAAAAGCCATTGATGATCCATTTGGTCTTATTTATTCATATCTATCTGTCTATACATATCTATCTGTTTTTACATCTATCTATCTTCATTTACACTTATCTAGCTATCTTTTCCTTTCTCTTTCTCACTAATATCTGGTGGGGTAAAATAACCCCACCAGATAAGTTAGGGATTATCCCTTACACAAAGGTAAGTTAGGGATTTTTTTGGAGATGATGAATTATGGAAGTATTAAACTCAATAAATATATGCAGTTTATTACAAAAGATTCTACAAAAAAAACGAAGAATGCAGAGTGCTGACTTTATCCTTCAGTACGTGTCACTACACCCGGAATTTTTATATTTTTTAGTAGAGACGGGGTTTCGTCATGTTGGCCAGGCTGGTCCCCAACTCCTGACCTCATGATCTGCCCGCCTTGACCTCCCAAAGTGCTGGAATTACAGGTGTGAGCCACCGTGCCCGACCAGTATGTATATTTTTTTAAGTAGCATTAGTTTTACTGACTTATTTGAGAAAAAGCACCTCAAAGTGTTTCTTCATTACTAATACATTTTAGTTGCTATATCAACATTTTATTGAGAGAAGAAATAATGTGATCTCTATGAAATATTGTTTTATAACAGTGCTCCCATAAATTCAATATCCCATGTATTTAAATGAACTTAATTATATATTTATAAGTGTGTGTGTATATACATAAACAACACTATGATTGAATCAATACATACATGCATGTACATGTACATATACATTCTGTGAAAAACACACACGAACACAAATATAGGTTGTATTCCTAACAATCTCTTTCTTGAGAAACATAGTTATGATCCTATAAGTGAAACTTGAAATCAATGAAGAAAGCTCCTTAAATATTATTCATGTGTTCTGTGGTCCAAGCATATTGGTATTAATGAGAGATAGATTTACTTGTAGACCTAACTTGCATAACATTTGTAAGGTACTTTAAAAAGTGCTTTACATAGAGATATTTGAAAAGGCTATGGTGTGTTTAATAAACTCTACTTCAGAAGCCAAGACCAGATTACCAATTCAAAATAAAATTTGAGCAATAGCTCCCTGTATAGTTACGCTCAACATCTCAATAAATATCCACATAGATTTTTAACAAGGGAATACCTAATACCAAATACTATTAACCAAATAAAAGCAACTATGTAGAAGGATTTTTATTCATTATTGGGTACAATATCATGATCAAGCTAAATGATTGGCCAAGCATTTCAGAAAATTATATCCAGAATATTTATTATGAAATATATGTCTCTTAAATATGTACAGAAAATTATTTCAGAAATAGTTTAATATCAATGATTCAAGCCATAGAACAAGAATTACTAAATACCATAACTTTGTGCAGGTATCTTTCTTTTTTTCTTTGTAAAATCAATTTCTTCATTTTAATTGACAGGTAAAAATTATATGTTTGTTTTGTACAAAATATTGTTTTTAAATATGTGTACATTGTGGAAGTGCTAAATTGAGCTAAATAACATTTGCATTACTTCACATACTTATCTTTTTCTTTGTTGTGAGAACACTTAAAATCTACTCTCTTAGCAATTTTCAAGAACACAATACATTAACTATAGTCACCATGTTAAGCAATAGGCCTCTTGAACTTATCCTCCTATCTAATTTAAATTTTGTGCCTGAGTGCCATGGCTCATGCCTGTAATCCCAGCACTTTGGGAGGCCGAGGTGGGTGGATCACCGGAGGTTAGGAGTTCGAGACCAGCCTGGCCAACATGACAAAACCCCTTCTCTACTAAAAATACAAAAATTAGCCAGGCATGGTGGCATGCACCTGTAATCCCAGCTGCTTAGGAGGCTGAGGCAGGAGAATCACTTCAACCCAGGAAGCAGAGGTTGCAGTGAGCTGAGATGGCACCACTGCACTCCAGCCTGGGTGACAGAGCTAGACTCCATCTCAAAAGTAAAATCTAAAAAAAAATTGTAACTTTTGACCAACATCTCCTAACTCTCTCTTCAACCACTGCCTCTGCCCTTGGTAATCATCCTTCTAATCTCTACTTCTGTGAGGTCAGCTTTTTCACATTCCACATGTGAATGAGATCATGTGGTTTGTCTTTGAAATAAGCCATGTCTGGCCTATTTAATCTAACATAATGTCCTCCATGTTGTTGCAAATTACAAGATCTTTTTCTTTAAGGCTGACTAGTATTCCATTGTGTATATATTACATTTTCCTTTTCCATTCATCCATTAATGGACATTTAGACTGATTTCATGTCTTGGCTATTGTGAATAATGCTGCAATCAACATGAGAGTACAAATATTTTTTGACACAGTGATTTTATTTCCTTTGAATGTATACCCTGAAGTGGGATGGTTGAATTACATGCTAGTTCTATTTTTAATTTTTTGAGGAACCTCCATACTGTTTTTCATAGTGATGGGATTAATTTACATTGTCACAGAGTATGCAAGGATTCCCTCTTCCGCACATCTTTGGAAGCATTTCTTACCTTTTGCCTTTATGATAATAGCTATTCTGACAGGCATTAGGCAATATCTCATTGTGGTTTTAATTTGCGTTTCCCTGATGATTAATGATGTTGACTATTTTATCATATACCTCTTGGCTATTTGTATGTCTTCCTATGAAAAAATGTCTATTCAGGTCCTTTGCCCATTTTTTTAATTGGATTTCTTTTTTTTTTTTCTAACTATTGAGTTATGTGAGTTCCTTGTATATTCTGGATGTTACTCCCTTGTCAGATGAGTAGTTTCCAAATATTTACTCTGATTCTGTAGGTTATTTCTTCACTCTGTTTATTGCTTTCTTGGCTGTGCAGAGCTTTTAGTTTGATTCAATCCCGTTTGTATATTTTTGTTTCATTTCTAGTGCTTTTGGATTCATATCCAAAAAGTCATTATCCAAAACAATGTCATGGAGATTTCCTTCCATTTTCTACATTAATTTTACAGTTTCAGGTCTTACATGTAAGTTTTTAATCAATTGTAGTTGACTGTTGCATATGGCATGAGATTGTGTCTGATTTTATTCTGCATGTGGATATCCAGTTATCCCAACAGTGTTTATCAAGGCACCTTCCTTTCCTCATTGTGTGTTCTTGACACCTTTGTCAAAAATCCATAGAGTGTAAATGCATGAATTTATTCCTGGGTTCTCGATTCTATACTCCTGGCCTATGTGTCTATTTTTATGCCAGCAATATACTCGTTTAACTGCTACAGTATTGTATAATATTTTTAAATTGGGTAGTGTGATGTCTCAAGCTGTGTTCTTTTTGCTCCAGATTGCTTGGCTGTTCAGGGTATTTTTATGGGCCTTTTGTGATTTGGTAACAATTTTAGGATTTTTTTTCTATTTATGTGAAGAATATCATTGAAATTTTGATAGGGATTATATGGAATCTATAGATCTCTTTGGGTAGGATGGACTTTTTAAAAATATAAATTCTTCCAATATATGAACACAGAATATCTTTCCATTTATTTATTTATTTCATCATTTTTAATAGTTTTCAGTGTATAGGTATTTCACCTCCTTGGTTAAATTTATTCTCAACTGTTTTATTTCTTTTTAACTATTTTAAATGACACTGTTTCCATGATTTATATTTCAAACGGTTCATAATTAGTGCACAGAAAAGCAATTGAGTTTTATATGTCCATTTTATATCTTGTGTGGTATCATAAGTGAAAGAGCAAGAATATGGATTTACTTCATTTCAAACATCTTTCTATATATAGGAAGGGACAATAATTCTCAGAAAATAAATAGGTATAACCTACCTATGTGGTTGAAAATAACATAGAATGTGGTTGAATAGGCAGTGAGCAGAGAAGGAAAATCTCTTATTGTAATGTTTCTGAAACTTATAGTTCTTAGCATATACTTATATACTTTATTAGGTTACAACTCCTGAGTTCCAGAAAATTACAATTGAATAAAACCCCAAAACAAGGGCAAAAGTTTTATATTGGTAACACTGAGAATGAACAAATAGGAAGGAAGGAAGGAAGGAAGGAAGGAAGGAAGGAAGGAAGGAAAAAGAAAAGAAAGAAGAAAGAAAGAAAGAAAAAGAAAACCTGCTTTTGAGAAAACATTGTGAGGTGGGCAGGGGCTGGGGTAAAAGAGGAAGAAACTAGCAACCAGAAAAAAAATGTAAGAAAAGCAGAGCTCTAAAAATAATCTACTGCAGAATATGAAAGAAAAGGGAATGTTATTTTTATTCTCACAGAAATAAGAAATGGCAATGGCCTCTCTGAAATAGGAGCAAATAATCATTAAGACAAAAGAAATTGAAATAGAAATTCTCTACAATGAGTTGAAGAGTCAAAAAAATAGAAGGATACCTTTAAAATGATCTGATACAGGAATTTGACCTGATTATGAGAGAGTGAAAGAATATAAACAAATGCAATGAGAAAATTAAATCCCCCATGGCAAAAATAAAGAGTAAAATTTACATTATGGGAAATTAGGTCTCTCACCTAAAGGTCAAACTTGAAAGTTCTTTAGGCCTGCAAAGAAAGAGGACAAAAAGATAAAATGAATGATCATGTTAAATACGCAAAAGAGAGTTGGGGAGAAAATATGCCAAGGAGAAATGAAAACAAATAAAAAAAAAGTAAGGTAACATAGAATCAACGTTCTTAAAATTAAGCAGGGTTGGTATATTATAATTGGAGTTCCACCCCATTCAGAACAAAATTTATATATATACATTTACAAATATTTTGGAACATTTTTGAATAACAGGCATTACTTGGGGTACTGAGGCACAAGAATTGCTTGAACCCTGGAAGCAGAGGTTGCAGTGAACCAAGATTGTGTCACTGCACTCCAGCCTGGGCAACAGAGTGAGACTTTGTCAAAAAAAATAAAAAATAAAAATAAAAATAAAATAAAAGACATAATAAAACCAATTTTTAAGTAAGTGTTAAGTGTTAAATATTTTTTAAGTTTACTTATATAGGAATAAATATTGGGTTGGCTTCAGGCTACTTGTTTTCAGAAGGCAAAGGAGAAATAACAGAGGAAAAAAAAGATTCATATTCTCAGACAAAATTTTTATACAGGCCAAGGACTATACAACGATAGTTGAAAAAAATACTTAAAAATCCTTTATCTGATCATAAAGCCAAATTATGAAACCAAAATAACATTACAGAAAATTTGAGGAAGAATGACAGTGAAAGGCAGGATTATGGAACACCATTCTCTTAATATGGAATAAAACAAAGAGACAAAAAACTAAACTAAACAAGTTAATTTACAGACAGGTAAAATTCAGGAGAAAGTAAACAAAGAAAAAGATACAAGAATAACATCCAAACTTCAAGTGGCAATGATCAAATTAGAAAGAAGATGCTCTGCTGTGAAGAGAGAAGTTATATTGAAAAGTTCTGAGCATACTTTCTAAAGTCTTCTAATTTACAGAGAAGAGGATTAAAGGAGTAAGGAACTGAAGAAAAAGGAAAGGGCCTGGGCGCGGTGGCTTACGCCTGTAATCCCAGCACTTTGGGAGGCCAAGGCCGGCAGATCATGAGGTCAGGGGTTCGAGACCCAGCGTGACCAACATGGTGAAACTCCATCTCTATTAAAAATACAAAAATTAGCCAGGTGTGGTGGCACGAGCCTGTAATCCCAGCTACTCAGGAGGCTGAGGCAGGAGAATTGCTTGAACCCGGGAGGTGGAGGTTGCAGTGAGCCACGATTGCGCCACTGCACTCCAGCCTGGGTGACAGAGCAAGACTCTGTCAAAAAAATAAAATAAAATGAAAGAGAGAGAGAGAGAGAAGAGGAGAGGAGAGGAGAGGAAAGGAGAGAAGAGAAGAGGAAACGAAAGGGCAAGGTACAGCCATCTAAAGCGGCTTTATTTGTTAAGGTACCAACCAGTCCCATGTGACTTTTGAGCACTTTGAATCTCACTATGTGTGTATATCCTACAGCCCCTGGCATGTGTGGGCAAGAACAGACCCACTGCCACTGCCCTGATGAAGCACCTTTTCCAGCACCTTCCATTTGTGTTGTTATCAGTGGACCAGGAACACTCTGGCCCCTCCAGTGCAGCAGGTGCTTGATCTCAAGGGGCCAGAGAACAATACCGTAGACCTGGTCCCAGCCTCCCAGGGTGAGAGTCCACAGTCCAGGAGTACTGAGCTAATCCTTGGCCCCCTGAAATCATTCAGAAATGAAGCCAGTCAACTAAACCCAATTTAAACCAGAGACAAACTGTCAAGGGCCTCAGAGAATATAAAAGCAAGAAGCCTCATGCAAAGCATAGCAACTTCAAAGATTAAAAGAGCCTCAGCCCACACAGATTAAAGGAGCCAGTGCAAGAACTCTGGCCACTCTGAAAGCCACAATGTCTTTTTACCTCCATGTGACTGCACTAGCTCCCCAGTAATAATTCTTCATGACTAAATTGGATGAAATGACAGACATAGAATTCAGAGACTGGATGGCAAGGAAGATCATCAATATTCACAGGAAAGTTAAAACCCAATCTAAGTAATCTAAGGAATCCAGTAATACAATTCAAGAGGTGAAAGATGAAATTAGCCATTTTAGGAAAGAATCTAATCTTTCCTAATCTAATAATAGAGCTGAAAAACTCACTATAAGAATTTCATAATTCAATTGTAAGTTTTAACAGCATAATAAACCAAGCAGAGGAAACAATTTTGGAGCCCAAAGACTGGTTCTTTGAATCAACTCAGTCAGACAAAGATAAAGTAAAAAGAATTTTTAAAATTGAACAAAACCTATAAGAAATATGGGATTGTATACATAGGCAAAACCTACAACAGACACATTGGTGTTCCTGAAACAGAGGGAGAGAACAAGCAACTTGAAAAATATATTTGAGAACATTGTCCATGAAAATTTCCCCAACTGAGGTAGAGATATTGACATTCAAATTTAGGAAATTTAGAGAACCTCTTTGGGATACTATAAAAGAAGAGTATCCCAAAGACACATAGTTTTCAGATTCTCCAAGGTCAATGTGAAGGAAAATATATTAAAGGAAGCTGGAGAGAAGAGACAGGTCACCTACAAAGGGAATATCATCAGTCTAGCAGTGGACTTTTTGGCAGAAATCCTACAAACCAGAAAAGAGTGAGGGCCTATATTCAGCTTTCTTAAAGAAAATAATTTCCAACCAACAATTTCAAATCCAGCCAAACTAAACTTCATAACTGAAGGAAAAATAAAGTCCTTTTTAGACAAGTATATGCTAAAAGACTTTGTTACCATCAGATCTGTCATATAAGATGTCCTGAAGGGAGTGCTAAAATTGGAAATGAGAGATTGTCACTGGCCACTACAAAAACACATTTAAGTACATAGACTAGTGACACTATAAAACAACTACACAATCAAGTGTACATATCAAACAACTAACAACATGAGGACAAAATCAAATGTTCACATATCAATATTAACCTTGAACTTAAATGGGCTAAATGTCCCACTTAAAACCCACAGAATGGCAAGTTGGATAAAGAAGCAAGACCCAACTGTTTGCTCTCTTCAAGAGACTTATCTCAAATGCAATGACACCTATAGGTTCAAAGTAAAGAGATGGAGAAATATCTATCAAGCAAATAGAAGGCAAAAAAGAGCAGGGTGGCTTTTCTTATTTCAGACAAAACAAACTTTAAACCAATAATCATCAAAAAGAACAAAGAAAGGCATTACATAATGATAAACAATTCAATTCGACAAGAGGACTTAACTATCTTCAATGTATATGCATCCAACAATGGAGCATCCAAATTCATAAAACAAGTTCTTAAAGACCTATGAAGAGACTTATATATCCAAATGGATAATAGTGGGAGATTTCAATGTCCGATTGACAAATTAGGCAGATAATGAAGGCAGAAAACTAACAAAGACATTTCAGACCTAAACCGGACATTTGACCAAATGGACCTGAGAGACATCTACAGAACCCTCTACCCAAGAACAGAATACACATTCTTCTCATCTGCATATGGCACATAGTCTAAAACTGACCACATGCTTGGCCACAAAGCAATTCTCAACAAATTTTAAAAAAACCTGAAATTATACCAACCGAGTTTTTAGAACACAGTGAAATAAAAATAGAAATCAATATCAAGATACTCTTTTAAAACTATACAGTGACATGGAACTTAAACAATCAGCTCATGAGTGATTTGGGTAAACAAGGAAATTAAGGCAGAAATCAAGAACTTCTTTGAAACTAATGAAAAAAGTGTACAACATACTAGAATCCCTGGGAAACAGCTAAGGTGGTGTTAAGAGGGAAGTTTATAACATTAAACACCCACATCAAAAACTTCAAAGATCTCAGATTAACAACCTCACATCACACCTAGAGGAATTAGAGAAACGAGAGCAAATTAACTCCAAAGCTAGAAGACAAATATTATAACAAATATCGGTGCTGAACTGAATGAAATTGAGATGTGAAAAACCATACAGAAGATCAAAGAACATAAAAGTTTGCTTTTTGAAAGAATAAATAAGATTGATAGTCCACTAGCTAAGCTAATAAAGACAAAAAGAGCATGTTGAAATTAACTGAATCTGAAGTGACAAAGGGGACATTACCGTCTTCCCCACAGAAATTTAAAAAGCCCCCAGACCATTACAAACACTTGTATGCACATAAACTAGGAAACCTAGAGGAAATAGAAACATTTCTTGAAACATAAAACCTCCCAAGATTGAACCAGGAAGAAATTGCAACCCTGAACAGACCAATATGGATTTCTGAAATTGAATCAGTAATTAAAAACAAAACAAAAACCTGCCACCCAGAAAAATTCCTGAACCTGAAGGATCCACAGCCAAATTCTACCAGATGTGTAAAGAAGAGCTGGTTGTAATTCTTTTGAAACTATTACAGAAAATTGAGAAGAAGGGACTCCTTCCTAACTGATTGTGTGAGTTCAGAATTATTCTAATACCGAAACCTGGCAGAGATACAATGAAGAAAGAAACCTTCAGGTTAATGTCCCTGATGAACATAGATACAAAAATTATCAACAAAATAATAGCATACTGAATTCTGCAGCAAATAAAAACGCCAATCTACCATGATCAAGTAGGCTTTATTCCTGGGACTTAAAGTTGGTTCAACATAGGCAAATCAATAAATATCACTCATCACATAAATAGAAATAAAAGCAAAAACCACATGGTTACCTCAATAGAGACAGAAAGGGCTTTTGATATAACTCAACATCCCTTCATGTTAAAAAAAACACCCTGAACCAGCCTTGCATCCTAGGGATGAAGCCAACTTGATCATTGTGGGTAAGCTTTTTGATGGGGCGCTGGATTCGCTTTGGCAGTATTTTATTGAGGATTTTTGCACTGAAGTTCATCAGGGATATTGGCCTGAAATTTTCTTTTTTTGTTGTGTCTCTGCCGGGTTTTGGTATCAGGATGATGGTGGCCTCACGAAATGAGTTAGGGAGGAGTCTCTCTTTTTCTATTGTTTGGAATAGTTTCAGAAGGAATGGCATACCCAAATCAATAAACATAATCCATCACATAAAAAGAACCAATGACAAAAACCTCATGATTATCTCAATAGATGCAGATAAGGCCTTCGATAAAATTCAACACCACTTCATGCTAAAAACTCTCAATAAACTAGGTACTGATGGAATGTAGCTCAAAATAATAAGACCTATTTATGACAAACCCACAGCCAATATCATACTGAATGGGCAAAAGCTGGAAGCATTCCCTTTGAAAACCAGCACAAAACAAGGATGCCCTCTCTCACCACTCCTATTCAACATAGTATTGGAAGTTCTGGCCAGGGCAATCAGGCAAGAGAAAGAAATAAAGGGTATTCAAACAGGAAGAGAGGAAGTCAAATTGTCTCTGTTTGCAGATGACATGATTGTATATTTAGAAAACCCCACTGTCTCAGCCCAAAATCTCTTTAAGCTGATAAGCAACTTCAGCAAAGTCTCAGGATACAAAATCAGTGTGCAAAAATCACAAGCATTCCTATACACCAATAATAGTCCAAAAGAGAGCCAAACCATGAGTGAACTCCCATTCACAATTGCTACAAAGAGAATAAAGTACCTAGGAATGCAAACTACAAGGGTATGAAGAACCTCTTCAAGGAGAACTACAAACCACTGTTCCAGGAAATAAGAGAGGACATAAACAAATGGAAAAACATTCCATGCTCATGGATAGGAATAATTAATATCATGAAAATGGCATACTGCCCAAAGTAATTTATAGATTCAATGCTATCCCCACCAAGTTACAATTGACTTTCTTCACAGAATTAGAAAAACGACTTTAAATTTCATATGGAACTGAAAAAGAGCCCATATAGCCAAGACAATCCTAAGCAAAAAGATCAAAGCTGGAGGCATCATGCTATCTGACTTCAAACTATATTACAAGACTACAGTAACCAAAACAGCATGGTACTGGTATCAAAACAGATATATAAACCAACGAAAGAGCACAGTGGCCTTAGAAATAATGCCACATATCTACAACCATCTGATCTTTGACAAACCTGACAAAAACAAGCAATGGGAAAAGGATTCCCTGTTTAATAAATGGTGTTGGGAAAACTGGCTAGCCACATGTAGAAAACTGAAACTAGACCCCTTCCTTACACGTTATACAAAAATTAACTCAAGATGCATTAAAGACTTTAACGTAAGACCTAAAACCATAAAAAACCCTAGAAGAAAACCTAGGCAATACCATTCAGGACATAGGTACAGGCAAAGACTTTTTGACTAAAACACCAGAAGCAATGGCAACAAAAGCCAAAATTGACAAATAGGATCTAAGTAAACTAAAGAGCTTCTTCACAGCAAAAGAAAGTGTCATCAGAGTGAACAGACAACCTACAGAATGGCAGAAAATTTTTGCAATCTATTCATCTGACAAAGGTCTAACAGCTAGAATCTATGAGGAACTTAAGCAAATTTACAAGAAAAAAATCAAACAACCCCATCAAAAAGTGAGTGAAGGATACAAACAGACATTTCTCAAAAGAAGACATTTATGAGGCCAACAAGCATATGAAAAAAAGCTCATCATCACTGGTCATTAGAGAAATGCAAATCAAAACCATGATGAGTTACCATCTCACGCCAGTTAGAATGGCGACCATTAAAAAGTCAGGAAACAACAGATGCTGGAGAGGATGTGGAGAAATAGGCATGCTTTTACACTGTTGGTGGAATTGTAAATTAGTTGAACTATTGTGGAAGACAGTGTCGCGATTCCTCAAGGATCTAGAACCAGAAATACCATTTGACCCAGCAATCCCATTACTGGGTATATACCCAAAGGATGATAAATCATTCTACTATAAAGACACACACACACATATGTTTATTGCAGCACTGTTCACAATATCAAAGACTTGGAACCAACCCAAATGCCCATCAATGACTGGATGAAGAAAATGTGGCACATATACACCATGGAATACTACACAGCCATAAAAAAGGACAAGTTCATGTCCTTTGCGGCGACATGGATGAAGCTGGAAACCATCATTCTCAGTTAAATAACACAGGAACGGAAAACCAAACACCGCATGTTCTCTCTCATAAGTGGGAGTTGAACAATGAGAACACAGGGACACAGAGAGGGGAACATCATATATCGGGGCCTGTCGGGGGTAGGGGGCTAGGGGAGGGATAGCATTAGGAGAAATACCTAATGTAGATAATGGGTTGAAGGGTGCAGCAAACCACCATGACAAGTGTATACCTACGTAAGAAATCTGCATGTTCTGTACTATCTATCCCAGAACTTAAAGTGCAATAAAACAAAACAAAACCCTGAACAAACTAGGCATAGAAGGAAGATAACCCAAAATAATAAGCACCATCTATGACAAACCCACAGCCAATATTATAGTGAACAGGCAAAAGCTGGAAGAATTTACTTTAAGAACTGGAAGAAGACAAGGATACCCACTCTCACCACACTTATTCAACATATTTCAGGAAGTTCTAGCCAGAGCAATCAGGCAAGAGAAAGAAATAAAAGCCATCCAAATAGGAAGAGAGAATGGCAAACTATGTCTCTTCACAGCCAGTATAATTCTAAATGTAGAAAACTGTATAATCTCTGCCCAAAGGCTCCTTTGCTGAACACCTTCAGCAAAGTTTCAGAATAGAAAATCATTGTACAAAATCTGTAGCATTTCTATACACCAATAATGTCCAAGCTAAGAGCAAAATAAAAAATGCAATACTATTCACAGTAGCAACAAAAAGAATAAAATACCTAGCAATACAGCTAATCAGGGAGGTGAAGGATCTCTACAAGAATTACAAAACACTGCTGAAAGAAATCAGTGTTCACACAAACAAATAGAAAAATATTGCATGCTCATGGATAGGAAGAATCAATATCGTTAAAATGGCCACATTGCTGAAAGCAATTTACAGATTTAATGCTATTTTTATCAAATTATCAATGACATTTTTTACAGAATTAGAAAGTACTCTAAAATTATTCACATGGAATCAAAAGAGACTGAACAGACAAAGCAATCTTAAGCAAAAAATAACAAAGCCAGATGCATCCAGCTACACAACTTCTATCTATATTATAAGGCTATAGTAACCAAAACGGCATGGTACAGGCATAAAAACAGACACATAGACCAACAGAACAGATTAGAGAACCTAGAAGTAAAGTAACACATCTACATCCATCTGATCTTCAAGAAACATGACAATGACAAGCAACAGAGAAAGGACTCCTTATCTAATAAATGGTGCTGGGATAACTAGCTAGCGATATGCAGAAGATTGAAAGTGGACACTTAGATTTCACTATTTACAAAAATCAAATCGAGATAGATTAAAGGCTTAAATGTAAAACCTAAAGGTATAAAAATACTAGTAGAAAATCTAGAAAATACCATTCTTGACATAGGCCCTGATAAAGATTTTTTGATGAAGACTCCAAAAGCAATAGCAACAAAAACAAAAATTGAGAAGTGGGACCTAATAAAACTAAAGAACTTCTGCTTGACAAAATAAACAACAACAACAACAACAAAAAAAACTGTCAACAGAGTAAACAATCTACAGAATAGGATAAAATGTTTGCAAACTATATATCTGACAAAAGTCTAATATCCAGAATCTATAATGAACTTAAATCAACAAGCAGAATACAACCTCTTAAAAATGAGCAAAAGACATTAACAGACCCTTCTCAAAAGAAGACATACACATGGCCAAAAAGCATATAAAAAAAGCTCATTTTCACTAATCCTCAGAGAAATGCAAATCAAAACCACAATGAGATACAATCTCACACCAGCCAGAATGACTATTAACAAAAGTCAAAAAATAACAGATCCTGGCAAAGTTGCAGAGAAAAGGGAATGCTTATACACTACTGGTGGAAATGCAAATTAGTTTAGCCACTGTGGAAAGCAGTCTGGAGATTTCTCAAAGAACTTAAAACAGAGCTACTATTTGACTCAGCAGTCCCCTTACTACCATAATGGCACATGCGCACTTACAGTCATGGCAGCGCTATTCACAATAGGAAAGACATGGAATCAACCTAGATTCCCATCAGTGATGAACGGGATTTTTAAAATGTGATATATATATACACCACGGAATACTACAAAGCCATAAAAAAGTTCAAAATCATGTCCTTTGCAGTAATGTGCAAGCAATGCTTCTGGAGGCCATTATCCTAAGCGTATTAATGCAGGAACAGAAAACCAATTACCACATATTCTCATTTATAAGTGGGAGCTAAGTACTGAGTATACATGAACACAAGAAGGAAACGATAGACACTGGGGCCTGCTTGAGGGTGGAGGGAGGAGGGTAAGGCTAGAAAAACTACCCATCATGTACTATGCCCACTATCTGGGTGAGGAAATAATTTGTTCACCAAACCCCACTGACACAAAATTTACCCATCTACTGTGAGGTCGAGCTTGCAGTAAGCCGAGATAACACCACTGCACTCCAGCCTGGGTGACAGAGAGAAACTCCGTCTAAAAAAAAAAAATTTACCCATCTAACAAACCTGCACATGTACCCCAGAACCTAAAATAAAAGTTGTAAGGGAAAACAAAATTGTAGTAAGAACATTTAACATGAGATCTACCATCTTATTAAATTTTTAAATGTACAATACAGGGTTATTAACTATAGACACAATGTTGTTCAGTAGATCTCTAGAATGTATACATTTTGAATAACTGAAACTCTATACTCATTGAACAGCAATTCCCCATTCTCACTTCCCCAACCCCTGGAAGCCACACTTCTACTCTGTTTCTATGAGTTTGACTATTTTACAGACCTCATGTGAGTGGAATACTGTAGTATTAGTTCTTGTGTGAGTGGCTTATTTCACTTAGCACAATGTCCTTTGTGCTCCCATGTATATTGTAGAGAAATAACAAAACAAGTAAATAAATGTGGTTTGTCTGAATGAAGATGTGCTTTAAGCATAGAATACACACTAAATTTTAAAGACTCATTACAAAAATGTAAAATACTTCATTTATTTTTCTTATTATTTTTATATTGAATGATAATATTTCCAGTATATTAAGTTCAATGAGTATACTAAAATTAATTTCACCTGCTTCTTTTTACTTTTCTAATGTGCTACTACAAAATTCAAAATTACACATGTGGCTTTCGTCTGTGGGTTATGTTACACTTCTGCTGTACAGAACTGATCCATAATCCAAAGTGGGCAGTGCAAACCGTAGGGAATGCATAAGTGGATTCATTTGTGGTAATGGAAACAAGTAGAATAACTGTCACCTCTGCTAATTTCTAAACACAGAAGAAGGAAATCTAAATTTAGTAATACATTAATGCAACATATGAATGAAAACTAGTGTCTTCACTTGCCCGTATCGTATCTTGAACACAACAAATTTTATGGGCAGAGTGGGACAAAACACCTCTTTGTACAAAACAAAGGAGAAATAATAGCATGCTCACCTGTTGCTGTGCTTTTCACCCCAAAGCATTTCGACATGTTATAACTTGCAGCTCCAAATTCATGAAATAGATTTTCTAAATTAATAGGATCTTTACAATAAATGAGAGTAACCCTAAGTATATTGTATAACAGAGATTTAGTCATAATACCATGGCAAATTTTATGAAGAAATTTTAAAATATAAAGATACACTAAGCATTTGTATCCTGCAAAAATAGAAATTTCTGATCTTTTCTGTGACTAGCAGCCATCAGTAGTCTACTATCTAGCAAGTACTGAATCTTTCCCTTTGAGGTAAAGTTGGCTTTTAAAAATTGTTTGGAAAAAAAATCTATCAGCATGGAGAGAATATTGTGAAAGCAACTGTCAGAAAACATTCCTCTAATTATGTGGCATTATTTAAGAATAAGATGAATGTATCATCTATAAAAGACTATCAGTACACTAAAGAAATAAAAAGTGAAATTTATAGTCTGTTTAAAAATTTTCCAAAAATGTAGTTTCAGTAGATATTTCTTTAAATACAGCTTGAGTATCCCTAATCCAAAAATTTGAAATACAAAATGCTCCAAAATACGAAACTTTTTGAACACAAACATGTCATCACAGGTGGAAAATTTTACACCTGAACTCATGTGATAGATTGCAGTCAAACACAATCAAAACTTCCCATGCACCAAATTATTTAAAATATTGTATAAATTACCTGTAGTTTATGTGTATAAGGTATATATAAAACATAAATGAATTTTGTGTCTAGATTTGGATCCCATCCCCAACATATCTCATTGCATGTATGCATCTATTCCAAAATTTGAAAAAAAACTAAAAAATCTGAAACACGTCTGGTCTCAGCATTTTGGATAAGGGATACTCAACCTGTACATAATTTTTAGAGCCATTCACATCAAAATTGAGTGGAAGGTACAGAGAATTCCCATATACCCCTGCCCACGCACATAAAACATACCTCCAGATTGGTACATTTGTTGCAATCAGTAAACCTAAATAAACTCATCACTATCTCCTAAAGTCCGAAATTTATGTTAGGGTTCACTTGTGTTGTACAGTCTATGATTTTTTAAATAAATGTTTGATGACATATATCCACCATTATAGTATCATACTGAATATTTTTACTGCCCTAAAAGTTTTCTATGTTCTGCTTATTTCTCCTTATCTACCTCCTAATTCCTGGCAACTACTAGTCATTTTACTGTCTCCATAGTTTTAACTGTTCCAGAATGGCATATAGTTGGAATCATACAGTATGTGGCTTTCTTAAATTAGCCTTTTTACTTAGTAATTATGCATTTAAATTTTCTCCATATGTTTTTGTATTTTGATAGCTCATTCATTTTTAGAGCTTCATAGTGTTATATTGTCTGAATATATCACAGTTTATTCATCTACTGAAGTACATTTTGTTTGCTTTCACATTTTGACAATTGTGAGTATAGCTTCTGTAAACACCCATGTGCAGGTGCAGGTTCTTGTGTGGACATAAGTTATCAACTCACTTGGGTAAATACTAAAAAGGGTTATTTACGGGCACTATATTTAGTTTTGTAAGAAACTATCAAATTGTCTTTCAAAGTGGCTGTACCATTTTGCATTCCTGTCAGCAATGAATAAGAATTCCTGTTGCTCCGTATCTTTGCCAGCACTTGGCGTTTCAGTGTTTTGGATTTTGGCCATTCTAACATGTGTATAGAACTATCTTATTTTTCTAATTTGCAGTTGCCTAATGACACATGATATTCAACGTTTTTTCATATGTTTATTTGCCATCTATATAATCTTCTTTAGTTAGGTGTCTACTCAGATCATTTGTCCACATTTTAATTAGGTTGTTCATTAACTTATTACTGAGTTTTGAGCATTCTTTTTATATTTTACATAAGTCCTTAATGAGGTATGACTTTGCTAACATTTTCTTTGAGTCTGTGATTTGTTTTCTCATTCTCTTTACAGTGTCTTCCACAGAGCACAAAATTTTTAAAAAAATTTTAATGAATTTTCTCTGATCAATTATTGCTTTCATGGTAACAAATAATTTAGCATTGTATCTAAGGCATTGCCAAACTCAAAGTCATCTGGATGTTCTCAGGTCTGTAATCCAGTTTTAGTTAATTTTTGTGAAGGTATGACGTCTGTGCTAAATTTCTTGTTTTGGTCGTAGATGTTTAGTTGTCCCCGCACTATTTTTTCTATTGTATTGTCTTTGCACCTTTGTCAAAGCTCGTGACTATATTTTTATGTCTGTTTCTCTATTGTGTTCTATTTATGTATTTAGTTTTTCACCAGTACTACACTGTCTTAATTACTGTAACTTTATAAGAAGTTTGAAAGTTGTGTAGTGTCTATTCCCTAATTTGTTCTCCTTTTTAATACTGTGTTGGTTATTCTGAGTATTTCACCTCTCTATACAAACTTAAAAATAGGCTTCTTGGTATCCACAAAATAACTTGCTGGAATTCTGATTGGGATGGTATTGAATGTATAGATAAGTTGGGAGAAACTATCATCTTGACGATATTGACTCTTCCTATGCATGAACATACAATGTCTCTATTTAGGCTTTCTTTGATTTCTTTCATTAGAGTTTTGCAGCTTTTCCCATATAGATCTTACACATTTTTTAGATTTATACCTAAGTATTTTAATTTGCGAGGTGTTAAAAGAGCACTTTTAAAGTATAAACAGTGTGGGACTTGTCAAACTTGAACACTTAAAACAGAAAACAAAATTTTTAAAAGAACCATAGCACATGAGGAAAAGAGGCCCAACACCACATGTGAATATAAACAGTGAGTGTAAGCTTTAGAAATAATGATTGTCAGCCCTGTACCTGTCAGTAAACGCTGAACACAATAATGTTTTGACTCTTACAATGGATATATTTTGAGTCCTTGAATAAACTGAAGCAGCTGAATAACCATGAAAAAAAAAGCACAGAATAAGAACAACAATATGTTTCTTTCTTTGTTATGATTTTCTTAGTATTATGATAAATATTTATCACTCAGATAAACATTAAACTCCTTATTTAAAATAAACTCAAGATACAAAATAATGAACTAGAGTTTTGAAAGCTGTAAAAAGGAGTCTAAATTATTATTAAAACCTGATTATAAATGGTGCAACTCTCAAAAATTATTTTTGACATAAAAATATAAAACAATGAAATTTCTACCTGTAAGGAAAATGCATTTCTAATGTAAAAAGTTGGAGAAGCACATATGTAGGTAGGTAATGATATATAAAACTTATTTTAATAGAATTATATTAAAAGTTATTTTTCCTATATTGTTAGGAAAACATATAACATATATGAACAAGTACACATGAAGCTTCCAGTAAATATAAAAAATAGCACACACAAAGCTTTTAAAAGAGTAGATAAGAATATAAAAGGAAATATAACTAATATATTTTAAATAGAAAACCAATTAAACAGGAGAGTAAATAGACAGAATTTCAGTTTATGAATATTTATTTTTTGTATGTGTATCCACTCACTGCTTGGATTATCTTAAGACTAAGTTAATATTTGTAGAGAGCAGGAAAGAATAAAGAGAGTGAGGAAGCAAGGAGGGAGAAAGCGAGAAAGAAAGGATAGAACAGTGACAAATAGGAGGTGAAAATGAGATTCCTGTAGACATTTTTAAGGAAAAGTAATAGCAAAGTTCTCATAGGTGTCAACTCTAATGTTTTCCTAATTTTCTTTGTCCCTTCCCTCAAGTTGGCTTCCTTAAATCTTTAAATTTAGCTTCAAGTTTCTCAAGCTTGTTTTTAACACAAATTATTTATTGCCTATACTGATTTTTAAAAGTAGTCTCCAGTCACCTTAGCACAGCATTCAAACTACACTATCACTGTTGGATTATAATGTGAAATTGATCTTACTGTGTGAGAGACATTGTCTCAAAAATATTTGAGACATTTATATTGGCTCAAAAATTTCACTGAAAAATTCTGGAAAACAATGTGGATAAATTGATTAACACTAAGAATGTTGGAAAGTTTTTGAGCAAACTTGAAATATTAAAAGGCTCAGAAATGGCAGCTGAAAAAAAAATTAAAAATACAAGAAAGCTCAGTAAAATATTATTCTCAAATATTTTGTGCGTGTTAAACTATTAAAATGAACAAATCTTGAATCAGTGTCATCGTTTCTTATGTATATCCAAAACACTTCATTTTTATTAAGGTGGAAACCACATTCCTTTTCATTGTAAATTATTCTAAGACTCAGAACCTAATACATCTTAGATGCACTATAAAATTATTTAATGTACATGTTCATTCTCTTCAAATACATATGGTCCAGTAAGTTAGACTTATATAACTTAGGAGAACATTAAATGATTATTTTTTCACTGATGGGATGTGTGTGTGTGTGTGTGTTTGTGTATATATATATACACACATATATATGTTCATGCACTTTTTTAAACAACAGAAAAATGTTAGAAAATAAAACTTAATTGGCAATTTTGTGAATGGTTAAGAGAAAATCCTACAGACCTAACCATAAAGAACACTGATACATTTTTCTCTTATAACCTGTAGAAACAATTTCAAGTAAAATTTACCAAAAAAAAAATACATTAGTTCTTTCCATTAAGATTTTTCAAGAGTTTCACTTGTAAGCAGAATAAGGCACAACGACATTTTCTGTTAACTGTTTGGAACAGAATCAGTCTGTGTTCTCTTTCTCCCTCTCTCTGGGATGTGTAACTGAATCGTCATCAGCCTGAACTCCAAGCTACATGACTGTAATTAATTACATCACAATTGACCTATTGTTGAGGTCTCCATTTGCCCTTGCCAACCTGGACTCATAATTTTTTACTAATGGACAAATTACATTTTGTACTCTTTCACTCTAATGCAAAAAGAAACAGACACAGAGAGAGAGATAGAAATAGTGACATAAATGGCCCAGATAATGCTAGAAAACCCCATTTTATGAGAAACCTTCACAAAATGTAAGTATGAGAAACCAAATTGCAGCTCGTACAAAGAGCATAGAAAGGGAATTCTAAGGAAATTGCATAAATGACATTTTTGAACCAAATAAGACATGAAGTAAATGATACCTTACCTACTACAATAATTCCTCAAAGAAGTCAGCATATTTATTTTGGGGTCAATACTTTGGCTGCTACCAAAATCAACAAGCAAAGTTATACCTCACAGTTTTAATAAGTGGATACTCTTTAATATGTTTTGTATTTCCAAATAACAATTTTATGTGATTATAAGATAATACATACTTTGTAAATAATTTTATCTGATTATAAGACAATGCATACTTGTTTGTATTTCTCTGTCTTTCTATCTCAGAAGAGAGAGAGAGAAAGCAATACAAACAAGTATGTATCTCTCTATCCTAACAGAGAGAGAGAGAGAGAGATTGATTTTGGGAATTGGCTCTCATAATTGTGAAGGCTGAGGAGTCCTACCACCAACTCTGCAAGCTGGAAGAACCATCAAAGCCAGTGATATAATTTAGTCCAGGCTGATCAGGAAACCTGAGAAGCAAGATTCCACCTATGGTGTAAATTCCAGCCCATGTCTGAAAAGCTGAGAACCAGGGGTTGTGGGGAAGGAGGGATGAGGGTATAAGTTCTGGATTCAGAAGGTATAAAAACCAAAAGCTCCTACATCCAAAGGCAGAAGATGGATGTCCCAGCTCAATAGGAGAGAGAGAATTTGCCCTCCCTTTTTTGCTTCATTAGAGTGCTCAAAAGGTTGCATAATGCCAGGCCACCTTGCGAAAGGAATGATCTTTACTCAGGCAACTGACTCAAATTCTAATCACTTCTGGAGATATCCTCACAGACACACCCAGAAATAATCTTTTGCCAGCTATTTGGTCAAGCCCAGTCAAGTTGACACATACAATTAACCAGCAAATACTGACCCTTTATCAACTTGGCACCCATACACAAATAAAGACAATAATAAGGTCATTCCATATAACATAATACAGCTATCTTGCATATAACCAAAAATCTAATCCCTTCCCCAGAAGAGAATGTAAAGTCCTTAAGTAATGTCACATAACTTAAATACTATGATGTAGTGGTAATAATACTTAATACTGATAAAAAGTTAATAATTTTATGTTACATCATAAGGATATTAGAGAGAAAGTAAATATTCAAGACAATTTCTTAATTTCTTAAGTCACACAGTATAGTTCGTATTTATAACTACCTTCTACTACTCATTCTGTGTTCTCTTTGCCTTCAGTAAGTACCTCAGCTGGTTATGTTCTTTACCTAATAAGGTGACCCAAACTTAATCCCTAAAGGGCCTGGGTCATTTGTAGTTCTGCTTGGATGGGGTTGTAATTTCCTATTGACCTTAATCACAGGACATAGTAACACCGAGGACATCCTAAGGGATGTCCTGTACTTCAGACATATTCTTCCTTACCTCCATTGTGGAGTAGTAGTCAAATTTTCCCTTGGTAGTCAGGAGCAATTACCTTAGCCAACACTGTTATTCTCTTCTTTGCCTGTTGACTCAGAGGCGTGAGGAGCACTTGGTGGCAAGGGTTGGGGAGAGGCCAATTGCTATTTACAAAACATGTCATCCTATCCATTTGATTACTAAAATACTCCTCTGTTGAGGCCACCTTTTGGTGAGTTTCACATGGGACACATATTATTATGTCATTTGCCCATTCTAACACGTCTATTCACATTCCTCTTTCCCAAATGTCTTTGTCACCAATTTTCCAATCATGTTTCTTCCAAGTTCCTGACCATCCAAACAATTGGCAGCCCATGAATTGCATGCCTGGCCATTTCTCCTTCAAAGCAAAGTGGGTAGCTTTGAAGGTTTTCCTGAGAAAATTTCCCTTTACCACTGTTCTTCAGGAGTGTATCAGAGAGGAGCTGTGGTTCTGCAACTGTCAACTTTTATGTGCTGCCTGCACACCTTGCAGAATCATTTTCTATTACATGGATAGACCATAAAATGGGTCAATTTTGGAACTTATCTCGAGTTATTATTTGGAGTATCCAAATCATAGTAAACTCTCAAGAATTGTTACCTATTATTGTTTTTCCATGAGCATTTTGATTGTTTAACATTATCTGTTATAAACAATACTTTAATCAAAATTATGAATTGAAATATTTCTCTGAATCTCTAATGACTTGAGATAATTTCTCAGAAAGTATTGGATGTTACCTATTTGAAGGTCTCAGTATTGAAAGTTTGTAATTATTTGTCTCATTATACTCTATTATTATTTTTATGTCAAAATTTATTATAAATAATAGAAAAGATGTACCTTCCCCCTTTAACATGAATCTTTAATGCTTTATGCTTTAATATGGTTAACGATAGAAAAGTAATTTGTTTATATGTTTATTTCTCTATGCTTTATTCCTATTTAAAATTAATTTCTCTTTTAAAGCAACAGTTTCCAGATGGTGTTTCATAGAGATCTAAGGAGCCAGGTAACATCCTCTGAAGCAAGGGAATTAGGAGATAAAGAGAGGCTGGAGGAGCACAGTGGACGTTCGACCTCAGACTTTGACTTGCCTCAACCTACTTTACAATTTAGGCCTCAACTAAAGACAAAATGTGAAGATGCTTTGGTGATTACTCTATTTTGGTGTTAGTAATTGATTACTGATTCATAATCACTCTATACATGTTAATCCTATTGATTCTTTGTATTTTTTATAAATATTTCAGGGTTTCTTTTTTTATTTGAGTTTGATGGTTTATCATCACAAAAAAAATTGCCTTTAGGTAGTAAAATGTATTAATTCATTGTATTCATTACATCAAATATCTATATCTATATCTATAAAATGTTTAGATTTATAAATTGAAATGATTAGGGAGAAAAACACAAAACATTATCAAGACACATTTGAAAAATAGCCTTAAATAAAGGAGAAGGATACCATATTTACGAGTGGAGATATCAAAAATTAATATGTTTTAAGTCAAGTTCCACTGGAAACAAGCTCAGGTAGAGATTAGTTTGAAGGCAGTTTGCTGAGGAGAGCTTTTGGTAACAAAGCTCATGATGATACATTTGTTATCATTTGTAGGACTTGGCAGAGAGAAAATTTGAACTCTGATCCAGTTGCAACCAATGTCTAAGCCAATCCCATTAAGAGCTCTGGAGCTGGGATAGTCCTTTAGAAATGTCTTGAATTGGGCAAGGAGTTTAGACCTTCGTCCTTCCACATTAACTAGTAATTGCAAATAGGTACCCTGGAGAGGGGCCTAACCTTGGGCAATGTCTAGGGAAGAGACCTAAACCAATGTCTAGTGAAGAAACTAACTACAGTGTTCTTGGCAGCTTGGATAATACAACCCTCACTTCCCCTATATGACAAGATGTCAATTACTTTTCTATAGTTGGGAGTATAAACTGATATAAATTTCTGTAAAGAAATTTGGTAAAGTAAATCAAATTTTTCCAATCAGTTTCTAGATTATTTTTCTAATAAAATAAATATATGACAAAGATTTATAGGCAAGCATGTAAATTTTATATTCTTATTCTCTATATACCTATAAATACAAATACATAATTATAACTGAACTATATAATGTATATTGTAATTGACATATACCATGATATAATACACTGATATTATATGTGCTAATATATATGGAAAATTTTTATCAATTGCACGTAAACAATGGAATTATGGCTGATCCTTTTTCTCTACTGTTTATTTTTTTATATTGTCCAAATTGCTTATAAATAATATTACTTTTTAATGGGAAAAAATATTAATTATCCTTCTGATTCATATGCCTTAAACTATCTCTTGGCTTCTTTATATCAAACACAGAAGTAGACTAAATTTTTGTTTTCAATATTGCTCTGTTTCTAATTATAATGTAAGTCATACAAGTCTAGGGAATATATATCTTCCTACCAAAAGATACCTCGCTAGAGCATATTGTGAAGTTGTTTGTGGAGATGAGAGACAAGTCATGTGGCTATTTCTCAAATTGTGATCAGATCATCTCGGATCACCTTGTCACTAATTTAAACTTGGTAGTACAGAATGCTGTTAATCAGGGTAAAGAGTATAGATATTAGCATTAGCCAAATGTGGACTGAACTCTTAGCTCTATCATTTGGCAGCCATGTAGTCTGGAGAAAGTTTTTAACTTTTCTATTCTTCAGCCTCACTATCTGTATAATGGAGATAACAACATAATATTGCATAGAATAAATGAGAGAAAAGATGTTAAATAATTCCTATGATTTTGGTCAAATTTGTAGGGATACATTGGTGATGAAAAATTATAGCTATTTTATTATAATTTTTATGAAAATGTCATTTTCTTAGAAAGTCATTGGCACTAATTTGGATACAAACTGAAGGAAATAAACTATGAAGAGAACTCCAACTCACAAAATTCCCATAATATTTTGGTCTAATTACTATAATTTTATGGATTCCAGTCAATAATTTACTTTGCTTCATTCAAAGTAAAGAAAAATATAATTTCTGCCCAGTAGTTTCAAGAAAAAATTCTTGTAACAATTGTAACACACAATTTTAACACAAGAAAATTACATGATGGATGGAAAACAATTATTCTTAAAAGCCTATATATTATATATATTTGAGAAATATATATAAATATATATTTGAGAAATATATATGCAAATATATATATTTGAGAAATATACATGCAAATATGTATATATTTGAGAAATATATATATTTGAGAAACATATGTATACATATAAATTTGAGAAATATATGTATGAAAATATATATTTGAGAAATATATGTATGAATAGATATATTTGAGAAATATATGTATGTATATATATTTTGAGAAATATATGTATGAATATATACTTGAGAAATATATGTATGAATATATATATCTTTGAGAAATATATGTATGAATATATATATTTGAGAAATATATGTATGTATATATATTTGAGAAATATATGTATAAATATATATATTTGAGAAATAAGTGTATAAATATATATATTTGAGAAATATATGTATAAATATATATATTTTAGAAATATATGTATATATATATTTGAGAAATATATGTATAAATATATATATTTTAGAAATATATGTATATATATATTTGAGAAATATATGTATAAATATATATATTTGAGAAATATATGTATAAATATACATATTTGAGAAATATACGCATAAATATATATATTTCAGAAATATATGTATAAATATACATATTTGAGAAATATATATAAATATATACATATTTGAGAAATATATATAAATATGTACATATCTGAGAAATATGTATAAATATGTACATATCTGAGAAATATATATAAATATGTACATATTTGAGAAATATATATAAATGTATATATACTTGAGAAATATATATAAATGTATATATATTTGAGAAATATATATATAAAAGTATATATATTTGAGAAATATATATATAAATGTATATATATTTGAGAAATATATATATAAATGTATATATATTTGAGAAATATATATATAAATGTATATATATTTGAGAAATATATATATAAATGTATATATGAGAAATATATATAAATGTATATATATTTGAGAAACATATATATAAATGTATATATATTTGAGAAACATATATATAAATGTATATATATTTGAGAAACATATATATAAATGTATATATATTTGAGAAACATATATATAAATGTATATATATTTGAGAAATAAAAGTTTTTAGTGCTTGAAACACAGGTTTTCGATACTTTTTACATCTAATGACCTAAGATAAAGGGATAGATATATATGTTGAGAGCCTAGGGAGCTTCTTAATACATTTGGTAATGGTAAGTTATGCAGAATTCTAATAAAAGCACAAAGCTACCTCATAATGTATTTTACCCTATCAAGGAAGCAAATCTGTGCCTTTCTTCCAACAATTATTTGGCAAAACTGCCAAACAATTTTAACATGGTTTTACTATTTTTCATTTTAAATTACACATAACTAATCAGAATCATGGTCATGCAATCTAATATACGTGGAATATTTGCTTTGCAAACATGTGCATTGGGAAACTCTATATATGAGCAATATTTCACTTACTCAATTTTTGTGCTAGGTGCTTGAGTCTCTATCTCTACTCTGGGAAGTGATTAAAATTGAAAGATAACCTAATAAGCAATTTTGCAATTTCCCTGAGATGGAGATTAGCAAAGCAGCCTTCTTCAATTAAATCTGAAGGCTGGTGAAATGAAAGGGCACTTGATTCATCTGTTTCTACCCTTCTGACTATGACATGAACAAATAAATTCTGTCAACAAATGGAGAGGACATATCAGGGTTGCTTTATTTATAATGTTAAACTGTAAAAGGCAATTAATTTTATGACCCTTCTAGAAACTGATGTAAATTTGACTCAGATTTCTACTTTATTTTCAGAATAGCTCTCAGTATAATGTATTGCATAATTAATTTTATTGGACCGTCATGAAAATTTTTCTCTGCCAACAAAATAACACTACTGCTGCTTCATTAGTTTCTTCTTCACAGTTTAAAGAACAGCCTATGGTAAATTAATCAGGTGGCTTCATATTTTCAACTGTAATAATACAAATTTAGGTCAGAAATTTCTAAAACTTTTTTTTCTTGGAAAGTAACTATTTATTGAAACAAATGTAAGTGTATAGAGAATCAGCAGTCATGACCTTTAGTCTAGTTTCATTTCTTGTAATCTTATGTATGTAATCTTAACTAAACCACTGGATTCTCTGGGTTCTGCATATTTTCATTTGGAAAACGTAAAATCATCTTTTGGTAATTTACTTTTTTCCCACTATAAAATGTAACTTTTTTATATAAAGTGTATGATTAAATCAATTATTCTGGAAATCTGGTATATGGTTGTCTGCTGTCTTTTAGGAAAATTTTCTGAGTCCCATTTGAATCCTATGGAGTTAGACCCTATATAGAAACCATATTCAGAATCCATATTCAGGAGACCTCTCCTCTCAGATAATTTGATTAAGTGCAATTATTAACAGGTACAGTATGCCTTGCATCACTTCCCAACATTTTTGTTCTTGTTGCTGAGGGCCTTTTTCTTCGGGTTGATAAAAACTCACTGTTGCTATATAATACTATGTAGAAATTTGAAAACAATTGGAGAAAATGTAAATATAAATTACAAGTTTTCACTTATTTCTTTTATTATGGAACATGTGGCAGCAAAAATAAAAGAATCAAAGAAACGTCATTAATATGTCTATTTGCCAGCCCTACTTCTTTTGGAAGAAGTAGGAAATAAGTGAATTATGAAAATTCACTTATCTTTAAGTTTTCATCTACCTTAGCAGAGTAAATTGTTTTTACAATTTTTATAAATTCTTTTTAAGCCTGTTATAAATATAATTTCCTTGCCTATACACATTTAAATAAAAGCTACAAAATGTTTTAACCCTGTTAATTCAATTTTACTTGGCTATGAGTCTATTTATACAAAAGTTGCACTTAGCCAAGTTGTGCACTTTGGTGAAAGGAGTAATGGAGCATAAATATGAAGACTTGGAACTGGTCCCAAACCTGCTACTAATAGCCATAGGCATTGTTTCTTTATCAGTAAAATTGGTATACAGCCTTTGTAACAATGGTTTTATAAAAATCAAGTAATGTATATTATATTATTATGCTTTAAAATGTTATATAAGTTACACAATACCTTGCAAATGAAAGATATTGTTTTAACAAATTTAAAATATAATACAGGCCTTATCTACATAAGCCATATTTGACCAAATAGTTAACTAATTTGACGCATAGCTTCTGGTGCATATATCTCTGGAAATATGAAGGAAATATAAGTTAGAAATAGAAGTTTGCTAGTGTTTCATGTAATATATATAACTATTTTCTTGCTCTATGGTAAAAATCTATTTCCTAAATAATCGTGGGTGTATTTTATAGTGATATTCCAAGCACAAACTTAAAATGCAAATGTAGGCTTTAAGTGTAATGATGTTGTATTACGATAACAAAGCAAAGAAAATATGAAATGTGAAGACAATATAAAATGTAAAAAGAATAGGAAAAATGTACTAAATCTAGAAATACTTAAAGGAAGCGACATTGCAATAAAAAGTCTGAAAAGGAACTCTCCTTAGCAGAGCATGTTTTGATGTATGTAGAGTTATAGAATTAGCTAGCAGAGAATCACTTCGTGGTTTGGAAATAATGAGAAGCAGCTTCTGATTTGTTTATTTGCTTTTCAAAGGAGATCGGAATGAACTGGAAAAGGAATCAGAAAGAAGAGTTGAGTAAAATTCTTGGGAAGATAGAAACTACATAATTGAAGAATAGCTGAATCCAGAGGGAATAGCATCATTCTCATGGTTAAGGATCACATAAAACTTGCATGGAATGATTAAGTCACCTAATGACAAGTTTCAGATTATTTTCCAGGAAATAGTGCTCTAGCACCTGAAAATTCATACTACACAAAGCTATTATAAATAGGAATTAGTGAAATAATTTTCACATTTCTTTACCATTATGTAATTTGCATTCAATTTATCTTCAGTGTTAAAATAATCTACTTTGACTAATTATGGATTGGCTTGAAGAAGCTGGTGACTTCTTGAAGACAAAAAAGAGATGAGTACAGTCTGAAGGTTTTGCTTTGTTAGAATAGAGCTTTTCTGAATCCCTGTCACCTATATTTTTAGTGGTAGAAAAAACATTAAAAGTTCTCAGGGATCCCTTTTTTCAGATGTTATTGTGCACCAATATAACACAGCCATCATAGTAATTTCAGTCTAATAAATAGCTTGGGAGTTAAGCCATACGACAAGGGTACAATCTATAGTCCACCAATTTGATTTCATAAACTGATAAACAGTTTTGCACTGACCTCTCCTCCTTTATTTTGAAAGTTTAGGGGTTTTTTTTCTGTTGCTGGTTGTTTTATTTTATATTTAACACATCCAACTTCCTATACTTGATTCATTATTTTATTGACTTTTTCAGAGAAATTTTTCTCTAATAAATTCTGGAGCTCTTGACAAGCCACTGATTAATCAAATAGAGTCAGTAAAATACAGTAGTCATTTAAATCCCTGTTTTGCTTTGTTTTTTTCATAAATCAGTGTACAATGCTAATCTATACATAATAGAAGGAAGTGTTTGGTTTTTATAGAGGTTTTAAATAACTAATGTCTAATTTTATATCTGAGGTAAGATTTTATATTTTACTGGCTACAACTTCTTGTAAAGCCAAGTATACATTTCTACTAATTCCAAAATTGTTATACATTTGAATGTTCACAATGGCCTTGTAAAATTACCTATGGAAAAAAATCTAATGAATGGTATAATATTTACATTACAACTATTCCTTAGATAATTTACATTTTCCAGTAAGCCTAGGTAATAATTCATGATGGCAGAAAGGATTATTTTAGAAGTCTATCTTTTCAGTTTATGTCTTGAATTAATATTTGCCAGTGGAGAGAACTAATTGAAACTATTTGACTAGTTTGAGAGGGAATTAAAAGAGTTTACGAAATATTATTACAAATGCTGTTATATTTTCATCTATACTCTGTTTATGATCAAATAAATTAAATACTGGTAATTTGACAATTTATGTACTTTCAATTTTTGTTGTTTAAGTGTTTATAATATTCTTTTTTCTGTAATTTTTAATCTGAGTCCTTATGTCTCCTTTTGCCATGAGGTCAACAAATGTTCTAATTTTGAAATGGCAGTCCTAATATTTACCTTTTTTCATAATCCCAGTGTCACAAGATAATTTTCAAAAAATATATGGATCTATATTTTTTCCTCGACATTTTCTCACTTCATCTCAAGCTGGAAGCTCTGCATTGACGTTTATCGCAGAGATCAAGGGTTATTTGAGGTGATTGGTTCTTCCTTTCTTTGTAGATGGTTTAATGATTATGATCAGTGTCTAGGACAATAAACACTGAACACAAATATGTGTTTAAGTCTGTGCTTGGCACAATTCTAAGTACATCACATAATTATTCCTTTTGTTTCTATTAATCTTATAAGACAGGTCAGTGCTAGCATTAACTCCTTTTGAAGATAAGATATTTGAGGATAAGTTCTGCAAAGCAAGCAGTCAAGCTGCTAAGTGGCTGAGCTAGGGTTTGAACTCAAGCAATATTTCCAGTCCATTGGTCACAGCCACTATATTTTCTCTAATATACTAAGTTGTTTATGGGAGTCCAAATGGACAGGGAGAGATGAAGGATGTGGTTGTTTACAAGATCCTAACTACATACCTGCTAGGTGTACCTAGGGTGACAAGACCCTTAATACAATGACTTCAAACTCAATAAAGATTTTAGTGTTCCAGTTTATCAAAGAAGCAGCACATAGCCATGGTGGGCTCACCTGCAAGGCCTCTCAAGGATTGTAGATTTCCAAGGCAGGATAATAAAGGATAAATAAGATTAAGGTTTAGTTGAGTATAAGAAACAAATAGTTTATAAAAGGAGAGGGAGGATTGGGCTTTATGAGAACAAATAAGACATGATTCTTATGATTTTCAGCCTTTCCAGCAGGGACAAATACCATTTTAGACTTAGGAAGATTATTGTACTGACATAACATCCATATGAAGATGTCAAACAGAAAACTGAAAATTCTCAATCACAGGGACTATGGTAGAAATGGCATTATGGTTTGGAGAGTCTTCTACACATAAATGGAGTTTCCTCATACAAATTCTTAATACATATGTTTTTCAATGAATGACAAAAGAAAGCTATTGTTTTGTTTCTACTATTATTGGTCTTAGAAAACTATGTGAAATATGGAAAGGAGGGCTTGCAAATTTGAATTAATTACAGACAATTTCCTATCTAGAAAAGTCAAGAGGATCATTTAAATATCAAAATCAATCAGCAAAGTTAGAAACGTGACTGACTATATACCTTCCTCTTGTTTTAGACAAAGGAAATTATATAATGCCCATATGTACATTAAAATAAAATGTATATGAAGACACTCATCCAAATGTTAACCTGGGTTACCTTTAGGTTATGAGATTGAGAATATGTGAGGAGAGGCTACAGTTTACTTTTAAACCTCCGTACTACTTGAACTTATAAGAATAAAATGTATGTTATTTTATTTTAAATTTTAAATGAAAATAGATTTGGGGTTAAGTTGAAGTTACTTTATGTAAAACATTGGTCACTTAGCTTTAAAATGTGCCATCCTAATTCTACCTTACCATTTCTGCTCCATTATTCCCACCTGTTAAATCGGAATATAGCAGAATGGGCCCCGAGAATCCATATTTTAACAGGGCTTCCCTGTTTTTTTATGCACACGAAATTAGAGAGTCACTACTTTAGAGAATAGTTTCAGTACAGATCTAGGAGCAAAAATAAAATTGGAGTAAGAAAACAGGTAAATAAAAGATGCAACTATTGAGGCAGAAAGTAAAGTGCTATATGGAGAAATTTTGAAGGAAATGGGAAATAGATAAGGAATTGCTATTATGCTGGTAACTAAATTGCATTCAGATATATTTCATTAACTTAAAAATTGGCCACGGTGGCTCACCCCTGTAATCCCGGCACTTTGGGAGGCCAAGGCGGGGCGGATTTCTTGAGCCCAGGAGTTCGAGACTAGCCTGGGCAACATGGTGAAACCCCATCTCTACAAAAAGTACAAAAATTAGCCGGACGTGGTGGCATGTGCCTGTAGTCCCAGCTATTTGGGAGGCTGAAGGAGGAGAATCACTTGGGCCCATATAGTTGAGGCTGTAGTGAGCAGTGATCACACCAATGAACTCCAGTCTGGGTGACAGAGTAAGACCCTGCCTCAAAAATAAATAAATAAATAAAATCAAGATTTATTAGAAAAATCTTACTTTTTAACTTCTAGATATGAAGGGCATTTTTAGCTTTGATTTTGCATAATTAGTAGAAGGAGCCTGAATAAGTCAAAGGCATAGTAGTTTGAGTTACACTGCAATGTAAACATCAGAATTGTTTTTTTGCCTATCTTTATTTCATTTCTCCAATAGACATATTTTTTTACATTGTCCACCCTAGCTATAATATCTTTAAACCTTTTCCTGCAAGTGGCAATAAATATTTTTTATCCCTGTTAATTCACCAGAATCAGATATTCTTTCTCTTTGCAATATATGGAGAAATTCACTGCTTTTAATGAATCAGAACTCTGCTGATTCTCACTGGACAGCTGGCATTCGTGTTTATAGCCTTAAAGAGAATGTGCTAACATCAGCATTTGATGAATAACTCCATGTGTATTGTAGTTCCTTCAACAGAAATTGTTCAGAGATTTGGAGAGCTAGTGATAAATAATTAATGAATACAGAAGCAATATTCTCACTTTATTGCCAGACTTAGAAGAAACACACAGTACAAGCTGTAAGACGGGCTTTCCTTTCTCTTTTGTCTTTCCTTTGACTAGTCATTTAGTTGATTGCAGACTCTGTCACTCAGAAGACCTCCAGGCTTATAACGTATCTTCATTTTATCTTGTCTTTAATTCATTTTGTCAAATGAATATCATGAATATTGAAAGCTTCTGTCTTTCAAATGCCACTGAGACATGACTTCTGGATGCAATAACTTAACTGGGATGTGGCAATTATAAGCACATCTACTTTTTATTTTCTACTTTAAGAAATGTCTTGGTTTTGTAATTTTTTATATAATTAAAAGAAATCAAAAATTTAAAAATTATAGCAAAATGGAAAAATTATGTGTAAATTCTATAAAAATCTTAGAACCATATATGAACATAACTAGCAATGCAACAGCCCCACAGATGTTAGTGTTCATTCCTAAAGATTAACTCAAGTTTGGAATGCTTATACAGATAGAGTAACTGAAATGTAATGTGAGCACTTATGAACACAGTGATACAAGCACTAATAAAGATAATTTTGTATAAGATGAGATCTTTCAAGGCACTCTGTATACTGTACTAACAAGTTAAAGAAATGGAACCCACAAAAAGAGTTCTTCCATGAGGCATAAGGAATTATTCATTTAAAAAGAACTTTTTATTTTAATCATATTTTTACAATTTGTCTTATTGTAAAATTTGAACTAAACATATTTCCTAAGAATGACAGCCATTGAGACAATAAAAAGTATCAATCAGGAAAATAAAACATATCTATCTTTATGCCAGGCACAGTACATTACAAATATTACCTCACTTAATCCTCCCAATAACCTGCATAATACATATCATGTCTATCTTATAGATGAAGGTAATTAGGCTAGAAGATAACATACTTTTCTTCAGTTCTCATGGCTCATGAGTATCATACCAGGACTCATACGCAGACATGTCCTCCAAAGTTCATGTTCATTCCAGTGTACTGTCTTGTAGAATACTTCATTTCACCTTGTATAATGTTAATTCTGAATACTTGATTACATAAGACTACTTCTTGGCATCAAATAATCTAAATTATACTATCATTCTCTGGTGTACAGGAATGAGATAAAAATGCTGTGCATATTATGGTTCCAGTGTCATAGTTTGGAATATAATTTCTGACCATTTTCTTAGTTACCTTAGTAGCTTTAATTCTCCCCTATTTTCTTTTTAAAATTATTTATTTTAATTGACAAAAATTGGATACCAGGTATTTGTCATGTACAACATGTTTCTGAAATATGTATACATTGTGAAATGGCTAACTTGAGCTAATTAACATCTGTATTATTTCACATCCTAATCTTTTTTTGTGATGAGATTCTCAAAATCTTAAAAATTTCAAGAATACAACACATTATTATTAACTAAAGTCACCATGTTATACAATAGATCTTTCAAACTTATTCCTTCTCTTCAACTGAAATTTCGGTTTTTTGTTTGTTTGTTTGTTTTTGAGACAGAGTTTCGCACTGTTGCTCTGTCACTCAGGCTGGAGTGCAATGGTGTGATCTCGGCTCACTGCAACCTCCACCTCCCAGGTTCAAGTGATTCTCCTGCCTCAGCCTCCCAAGTAGCTGTGATTACAGGCACATGCCATCATGCCCGGATAATTTCTGTATTTTTGTAGAGATGGGGTTTCATCATGTTCGCCAGGCTGGTCTCGAAATCCTGACCTTAGGTGATCCGCCAGCCTTGGCCTCCCAAAGTGCTGGGATTACAGGCATGAGCCACCGCGCCCGGCCCCCTATTTTCTAATAGTCTATCTTCATCATCCTCATAATGATCTATATTTATCTATCTATTCATCTATCTGCTGAGTGTTTGTGTACTTTACTGTCTTCCTAATCATTATTGAATGTTTAATGAAAGCGAAGATCATCACATTCATTCTTGTTTCTTCAATTACTTGCACAGTGGCATTAAAATTTGTTCAGTAGAAAGGAATATAATCTTTTTCTTATGATGGGATTACATTGAAAGGCCAACGGATGCCCAAGACTGTTGTAAATCAGTGAGGTAGCTAGGGAACCAAAGATTAAAAGGAATTTGCTGGTTCAATTTTCAATTTAATGACATTTTCTACTTATTAAAAGTGAATACACCTGGAGAAAAAGAGCTACCTGATAAAGAAAGCAATCATTATTGTTATGATTTTTAATTCAGGTGAGAGTCATCGTTTTTACAATAGTTGCTGCTAATAATGACTAATTCCCCACAATACAGAAATTTTGCTTTAATCGATCATGCTGATAACACACTATATTTGTGTTATACCTCTTCAAACAGCATCATTCCCCTTTTTTTACTTTAGTTTTCCTTATGAGTGAAAAGTGTGTTGATGTGTAAGGAACAGAAGCCAGGAGTAAGAAATCCAAGTTCTAGTTCTGGCTATTCTAAATATTAGATCTAAAATTGGGAATGTTTCCTTGAACCTCAATTATCTAATACAGGGATTTTAATACATGACTTGTCTATACACATTTTATTTAATTTACTGAAAATCAATAATATGTCAATAACAGAGAAACATATGCTACAATTTTTAGTTATTTAATCATCATGAAAAGCATCATGTAATAGGCTTTATTGCGATTTCATGTTTGATTAAGCTGAGCCCCAAAAACCTCACCAATTTATGTAGACTAATGCAAGTAGCAGAAATCGTACTCAAATACAAGCTGCCTCTCAAAGTCAATGTTCTTGTTTTATAAGTAACTTGATTTTTGTTGTGTTTGTTTTAAAACTTTTGCTTACACAATTGAAAAAAATCATAATTTCCCAAATCAAAATGAAGCTCACTTTCTTTGAAAAATCTACAGGAAGTTCCCCATAGACATTTTTGCTTGCACATTGAATTTATCTGTTGAATCTGATGGGCTTGCATGAAAGATCATTCATAATATACTAGAATCTCATGAACGGAGAAGACAACATAATCCGACCTTAATCTGATGATATACTACCTTTCTCAAAATAGCGCAGAATTGGTTAAATCGTGAACATTTCTAGGCTTAAAAAATTATTTTGTCTCTGAAGACTATTTGTTTTGTGAAAGTTTTGTTATTAGAAACAAAGTTATTTGTTATTGTATTGAAAATTTTCCCCATTTTTGAATGTTTGTTTTATAAAGTAATACATAATATGATTATGCTTTATTGCACATAAAAGCTTTAAATATTCAAAAGACAAGTGTTTCAAAATACTTAAGAATTTTATGAATCTTATCTTTTATCTAATATTTATTCAGTGGGCTTTCATTTGATATAAATTGGGGTTCTTCACCACCTTAGTAACTCTTTTCTGGGCTTCTCTTACTGAATGTAAGTTTAGGTTTTGCCCACCAGAGAGAGAGCAGTTCTGTCATTTGCCATGTTCTTAAATTATTTTTGTTTTCTGGGTAATGAAATCTAGGAATGCCTTCTTGAATTTGTGGCAATGGTTCTATACTACTGTCTTTTATTAAGCTCACAAACAACTATAAATTCTGGTTCTTTGTTTTCCATGGAGTCAAGTTGTATTTCCTTATATTGTACTTTTCAGTTTATTTTTGGACTTAATTTCAAGACTTCCATCATTATCCATCTTAAAATTCTTCTTAAGTTTACTCTAACTTCAAACTTGATATGATCATTTTATATTATCCCATTCAAATTCTTTGCTATTCCTTCTTAAACTATGTCTTTCAAATGCTTTAGATTTTTAACAAGAACTTTTGGACATGGAAGCAAACATGTTTTACTACTTAATATAGATAAGTTATTCAGTAATCTTTCTATGCAGTATTTTACCAGTGATCAATTCTCCTAACTTTATTTCAAATATAAATTTATTAAGTCCACATAATATTTTGATAAACATTAATCAAATTCATAACAAAATTCAGGTTATAATTGAGGATATCAAACTAGGCTCAGTTGGAGTTCATAGTAGACATACACTGTTTGGACTTCAAGGGTTTAGAAGAATGAAATTCAATGACTTTAGGAGAGGCATGCATTCTCCCCTTTCCACAGGCCTTTGAACTCCTTATTGATTTACACATAAAACTTCACCACATGTATTCTCATTGTCTCGCCCCTGAAAACATTTGAATTTGAGACCACTACATCATTCCCCTGAGCTATTAGCTTTATAATCCATATAAATCTTAGCAATTTATAAGATCATGTCTGAGGTTTACCAGTTATCTCTATTCTAAGTGCACACACAATGCTGTTAGAGAATTAATTCATAAGTTTTTTCCATGTTTAATATTAATGTCACTAGTATTGACTGTAATTCCTCTAACTTTGTGAAAGGTGTGGGTTCACATTTTTTTCTCTCGCCTTCAAATTCCTCATGATTATGAGGCTAATGGTAGTAACTTCCCATTAAATTCTTTTTTCAGTGCCCTGGAATTTAATTCCTCTAAGTATAAAATCTTAAACTTCATTTGGAACAGCTAGAAAGAAACCTAAATTAGTGCACATATTTTGGAATTCAATTCCCTCTGAATAATGTTTCCGCAGACTGAATATATGAGACTGTTTCATGATCACAAATGTTATCTAAAAAAGCATTGAATTACTCACTGCTAGTTATAACCAAGATAGCCTTAACTTTTCTCTCAGCTTGATTAAACTTTAGGCAGGTTTCTTCCTGAATAAACGTCCCTAACCTTCCTTTCCCTCGTATCAGTTTTACAAGCTGTGGACTGAAAATTAAGCCTGTTGAGGCATAAATAATTTGATAAAGTTTCACCATAAGCCAAATGTGAGAATCGAACTGGAAAGACACACCAACAAAGTTGAAAACATCCCAGAGTCTGCTACAAGTTGGAACGCTTTTATAAGAAAGTTTAGGAGAAGAGAAGGGGACTTCTCATATCAGAATTATCCTTGTTCATTGGAGGGTACAATACAGAGGCTATAATCATTGGCTACAGAGTGCAACATATGGGCTAAGATATCTACATGCAAGACAACCAGTAAAATTTCATGACTCAGAAAAAAATAAGTAAAACTTCATGATTCAAAAACAATTCAGCATAATTTCCAGCATCAGTAGGTCATACATTAATCAGTACATCAACAATTTGAGAAATTCATGATAAGATTCTTTACTTAGAGACAGGATACTTCCATGAATGAGAAGACCTAACCCTAGACAGGTTAATTTGGATGTTAGCTAAATGTGACTTGTAGGTTATGAAAGCCAGGAATGTCTTTCTCAAAAACCTGGGGGCCATCCCTCTTAAATCAAGGAATATAAGACTTCTGTCTTTCAGTCTCTATGGAGAGACTGACTTCAATAAGTGCCAATTGGCAAACACAGATGATCTAATCACATTGACCACACTCTCTGCTAAAGTCTTGCAGTACTTTTCCACTTAAACATTCTTCCTCCTTTAGTTACAGGGGAGTTGAATTGAGCCTTTGTCTTTGATTACATTAGCCTTTGATAAAGTCTTTCTTTCCTGTTTACTTTTATAGTATGATATTTCTTTGATATTACTAACCAAGCTATGGCATTCCCCTTTATAAAAAAAATTAAATGTTAAAGTGTTTTTCTTAAATAGTAATAACATTTATTGTGCAGTTTGCAAGATTGTTGATTCATTTACATCTCATATCATATTCATATTAATGCTAAAGGAAAAGTTGTAGTATTGCCCCCCATATTTGCATATCAGCAAAATAGGCTCAGAGAAGTTTGCTAACTTGCTTAAGATTATGTAGCAAAAGAGGAAAAGCTAAAATGCTAATCCTGGAAGTTAACTCCAGAATTAATGTATTTTACTCTTAGGCTAATCTGTCTAGTTTTAAGCAATATTTTAATATTACAGATTATTCTTCAATTCAGCTTTTATTTTACTAAAATAATATTTTTCCTTCTTGTTTATTTATTTCTCCTTATCCTGTATTTTCAAATATGCCTTTAAAATCTGAGCTCAAGGGAGCTATCAGAGCATTCTTCATCTACATCAATCCCAATAATCTGACATTACTCTCAGAGTCTCAGTTCATGCCTATCTTTATTCTCAACTTTTGTATCCACCTTTTTCAAGTTTAAGGTACATTTATTATGTGCTCAGCATCTCTCCTTCTAACTATCACAAATTTGGAAATGACATAGTCTCTTTCTCCAAAGGTTAAACAGTATGTGTCCATTTTTCTAAATAAAGTAATGAGGCATAAAAGGTAAATTGCAGTAGCAGTAGCAACAAGATCAGTTTGCTGATAGGGGAAGTTTTTAGTACTGATATTGATGACACTGTCTGTCGAATTTATTCCTTGTTGAAAATGACAAAAGAGAATAGCCTTATAGCAATCCACTAGACCATTCCAAATATCCATAGTGTGTAAGCAATTCACTAGACCATTCCAAATATCCATAGTGTGTAGCAATCCACTAGACCATTCCAAATATCCATAGTGTGTAAATACCCACCCTTGGGCATTCAGGGAACATTAGATTGCTGTTTTTTGTTGTTGCTGTTGTTACCTTGTTTAACTCTTTCACTTTTTTGGTAAGAATGATTCTTTCTAAAAATGCCTTCTAATTTGAAGCATGACACCAGTTAATGAATTACTTCATTAATGTTTTGATTTACATGCTATTTGTTTAAAATGCTTTAAATTCTGCTGTTTAGTTTTATTTAATTTTTGATGAAAATCTTACTATTTGGTTCATTCTTCAAAAAATAATCCATCAAATGGAAAAAGGATAATTTGCATTTTAGTTGGAGTTGTGAGTTACAGATAAATATTTTTATAACTTTTGGCAAATATCAGTTTGTTTATTCTCAACTTTTGTAGCTCATCTTTTTAAAATTTGAGGTACATTTATTACATGCCCAGCGCTCCTCCTTCTAGCTATTACAAACTTGAAAATAACATAGTCTCTGATACGGTTTGGCTCTGTGTCCACATCTAGATCTCATGCACTGCTCACATTTCAAAATGCAATCATGCCTTCCCAACAATCTCTTAAAGTCTTAATTCATTCCAGCATTAACTCAAAAGTCCAAGTCCAAAGTTTCATCTGAGACAAGGAAAGTCCATTCTGCTTGTGAGTCTATAAAATAAAAAACAAGTTAGTTACTTCCAAGATACAATGGGAGTAGAGGCATTGGATAAAGGCTCCCATTCCAAAAAGGAGAAATTGGCTAAAACAAAGGGGCTGTAGGCCCTATGCAAGTCTAAATTCAGCAGGGCAGCTGTAATTCTAAAAGCTCCAAAATCATCTCCTTTTGTTCCATGTCTCACATTGTGATGATTAACATTGAGTGCCAATTTGGTTGGTTTAAAGAATGCCAAGTATTGTTCCTGGGTGTGTCTGTGAGGGTGTTGCCAAAGGAGATTAACATTTGAGTCAGTGGACTGGGAAAGGCAGACCCACCCTCAATCTGGGTGAGCACAATCTTATCAGCTCCAAACATGGCCAGAATAAAAGCAGGCAGAAGAACATGAAAAGATTAGGCTGGTTTACTCTTCTGGTCTACAACTTGCTCCTGTGCTGAATGCTTTGTGCCCTTGAACATTGGATCCCAAGTTCTTCAGCCTTGGGATTCAGACTGGCTTCCTTGCTCTTCAGCTTGCAGATGGCCAATTGTGGTACCCCATGTTGTGATTGTGTGAGTCAATACTCCTTAATAAACTCCCCTTTATATATACACCTATCCTATTAGTTCTGTCTCTCTAGAGAACCCTGACTAATACATACATCCAGGGCTTTCTAATGGACTAATACATACATCCACTCCCACCATCTTGGGCAGCTCTACCTCTGTGGCTTTTCAGGGTAGTGCCCTCACAGCTGCTTTCACAGGCTGGTATTGAGTGCCTATGACTTTTCCAAGTCCACAGTGCAAGCTGTCAGTGGATCTACCATTCTGGGGTCTACAGGACAGTGACCCTCTTCTCACAGTTCCACTAGGTAGTGTCACAGTTCCACTAGGTAGTGTCACAGTGAGGACACTGTGAGGGCTCAACCCTACATTTTCCCTCCACACTGCCCTAGTAGATATTCTCCATGAGAGCCCAATCCCTGCAGCAGACTTTTGCTTGAGCATTCAGGCGTTTTCATATATCCTCTGAAATCTAGGTGGAGGCTTCCAAACCTCAACTCTTGCCTTCTGTGCACTCATGGACCCAACACCACATTGAAGCCACCAAGGCCTGGGGCTAGCATCTGCTGAAGCAACGGCCCAAGCTGTACCTTGGCCCCTTTCATCCACAGCTGGAGCAGCTGGGATGCAGGGTGCCATGCCTTGAGGCTGCACAGAGCAGAAGGGCCTGGGCCCAGCCCATGAAAACATTTTTCCCTCCTGGGCCTCCAGGCCTGTGATGGGAGGGACTGTCACAAATGTCTCTGAAATACTCTGGAGGCATTTTCCCTATTGTCTTGGCTATTAACATTCAGCTGTTCTTCTTTACTTATGCAAATTTCTGCAGCCTTGAATTCCTCCTCAGAAAATGAGTTTTTCCTTTCTACTGCATGGTTGGGCTGCAAATTTTCTAAACTTTTATGCTTTGCTTCCATTTTAAATATAAGTTCTAGTTTCAGGTCATCTGTTTGTTTATGCAAATGAGTGTAGGCTTTTAAAAGCTGCCAGCCACATCTTGAATACTTTGCTGCTTAGAAATTTTTTCCACCAGATACCCTAAATCATCTCTCTCAAGTTCAAAGTTCCACAGATCTCTAAAGCGGGGCACAATGCCATCAGTCTCTTTGGTAAAACATAGCAAGAGTGACCTTTACTCCAGTTCCCAATAAGTTTCTCACTTCCATGTGAGACCACCTTAGCCTGGACTTCACTGTCGATAACACTATCAGCATTTTGGTCACAACCACTCAACAAGTCTCTAGGAAGTTCCAAACTTTTTCTCATCTCCCTGTCTTCTTTTAAAGCCTCCAAACTCTTTTGACCTCTGTCCATTACCCAATTCCAAAAGCACTTTCACATTTTCAGGTATCTTTATAGTAATGCCTCACTTCTCCAGTATCAATTCTCTTTCTCCAAAAGACACACACACACACATACACACACACACACACACACACTTCCCTGTCTAAGATTACACTGACAGCCCATCACTCCAGAGAGATAAGGAAACTCTGCTATTATATATTGTCTTGCATTCAATCTTTTGGTGCCTTTTAGGAAAGCTCAGTGAAAGTCTAAAAAATAATTAGAAAGTAGAAATTTTTTTTTAATTAAATAACTTTTGTTAGGGAAACTTTAACATAACTCTAAGTTAGAAATCTAATTTTAAAAAGAAACATGAAATCTCATTTGAAGACAGGAAACTTCTTTCTGTTTTGGAAATACAAAGTACTTTTTCTTCTGTGGAATTTAATAAGCTGATATGAATCAGTATCTTAGCATTCTACCTAGAAGTGGAAAGCAAAATTATCTTTGTGACCAAAATGGTGACACATAATTACTCACTCACAAAAAAAAATCACTAACACTACAGCATTTTCAAAAGCACATTTTCCCAGTCATGATATCTATCTTGAAGAGTATAATTTAATGAAGAATATTCTGTCATCCTTTGAAGTTTAACTGAACATGCAAGTAACCAAAAACCAAGATTTGAGTAGAAGGTAAGTACCAAATTTCTTATGAACTTATTTTTAAATCTTCTGCTTAACTCAAGTATATTTCTTTGCAATTCAATGTGAATAGGAAGTCTGTTTTTTTTTTTTTTTGTCTTGAATGTTATAATCCTTATCAAAGCATAGGTGCATAAAGTATGGATGGAGGATTAAGGATTACAAGAAGTCACTAAAAGGCAAATAAATTTTTTTTTTTTTGAGATGGAGTTTCGCTTTTGTTGCCCAGGCTTGACTATAATGGCACAACCTTGGCTCACCAAAACCGCCACCTCCTGGGTTCAAGCGATTCTCCTGCCTCACAACCTCCACCTCCTGGGTTCAAGTGGTTCTCCTGCCTCAGCCTCCTGAGTATACTATTTTTAAAACTTTGAATGTAAATTGATTATAGCTTTTGAGAAATTAATAAGATGAAGAAAGCAAATTTGTAGTTTAGAACAACGAATTTACAACTGAGCTGAGAAGGATTGAATATCTTACTTTAAGTTTGTATGCTATTAATCTGTATAGGGAATTAATCGTAACTATTTCACGAATAGTATCTCTTTTTTCTTTTAATTCTATTTGTTTTCTTGATAACGTCTATATTATTGCCTATGTTTACAGCAATATTGGACCAATTGGGCAAAGTTTAACAGCCACAGGCATTTAAAGGATCCACAACATTGTCACTGTATTTCATTGGCAGAAATCCTAAAAATGCTCATCCTAAATGATCAAATGCTATTTTGGCAGAGTGCTGGGAAGGTAGAAATTTACAGGCTCATTTTAAAGATTTAGAATCAATCTGTTGAAATGGATACAAAATTAATAGTTCAAGTACTGTAATTATTACAAAAGTTTATAAGGGAGACTTTTTTACTGACCCTATTGTAAAATTAGTTTGATAATATCATAATGGTATTGACTATCTGAGAAAATAGTTTAGACGAAGCTCCCATATATACCTAAAAAATGCCCAAAGACAACTCATTTAGCAGTATGTTATCTTCCACTTAATTACTCAATAAGTTGCATTCACTGTTTACAATGTGTCAACACTACTAAACACGCTAGCTGTATTCGCTAATTTAATTTTTTTTAAAACCTTATGAAGTATGGATTGATATCAAACCTATTTCAATTGGACTACTAGAGCCTAGCAAAGTAAAATAACTTGTCCAAGGAAATACAGCTAGAAAGGATGAAGCCAAGATGAAAACCTATTTATTTTGACTCCAAAGTTCACTCAACTGACCTGCTAAATTATAATTCAAACATTCAAAAACTTAGTTAATTTTCTGTGTTTGGAAAGAAAACATTTTCTTTTCTCACTGAACTACAAACTTTGTAGCATATTGAACCATGTATAAAAATGGGCATATTAAAATATTTTATAAGATGATTTCTGCCTGCAGATAGTTACACAAGCATTGAGGAGTAAAAATCTTTTTTTTTTTAGATTAAAAAGGAACTAGAATTTTAATAGACAGATAGACAAGGAAGACACTTCAAAAAGACAAAATCAAGACTATAGGAGGAAAAATCATAGTGAATATTCATGGGGGAATAAGAAGACTTTTTATGTTTCTGGATAGAGGATGATATGCTGAGTAGTGATAAGAGATAAAGCTTTTAAAGGGGGTTGGGTTCAAATCATAAAGATCTTGAAAGTGAGTTTACAAAACAGGGACTTGGTTCCTTTGAGAACAGAAAATATGGATAATTTTGAATAGGAGAGTGACAAACATAGATTAAATATGTGATTTGTGAATATTATTTGATTGCTCTGTTATAGAATAAATTGTCGTGTGAAGGAGATATTTTAAGTTGAGAAAAATGGCATAGTTTGGTTCCAAACACTTTATTGTAAAATAATAATAATAATAATGTAGCTATTATTGTCTGAAAAAGCCAGGATTTTAAAAAGTAGAAATTTGGCTGTATAGAAATTTCCATTTCTAAATGTTCAAATTATTTTAACACATCTTAGGATTACTGATTAAGGTAGAATATACATAGGAGGATGAGTATTGCCAACTAGTTCATCAGAAAATTTAGAAACTTTCATGAATGTCCAGTGTTTCTAGTATCTTTTCACACCTCATAGAAAGAACATTAAGTATAATATCCCACTGAATCTCTACTGATTTAGCCAATAAGGATGAACTTTTTGAGAGTATTAATGTATTGCATTCAGTTTTTTTATCTTTATGAGATATTTTTACATCATTAATCATAATCTCATTCATTTTTAATATCTACATTTGGGCTAATTCATAAATATATTCTATAATGAATGCTACATTATATTGTATACATTTCATTTCTAAGAATAACATTAAAATTCTTTTGTATATAAATTAGTAATATAAATCCTTTTGACTAGTCATGTCGATATTCACAGCTTCTGTCAATTGATCTCATTCTTAAAGTTATTTATTTGTTAAGAGATAGAGTCCTATGAGTTTAATCACTGTCCTCAATACTTAGTATTGGGCAGTTGAGTTGGTAATTGCAAATCCTCTATATAAGAATATTCTTAATTTTCCCGAGCAGTAGCTATTAAAGTTCTTACTATCCCATCAACAACTTCCAAATTTAAACTCCACAAAAATTGAGTCTCCAAATACACTATCAAGAACTTTTCAGGAATATAGGGTTAAACAAAGACTGTCTTGAAAAGATCTCACATGGGAATTTGCACTATTTGATACAGGTTTTCATGCCTGTAGTTCAATGTATCTAGGTTAGGTGTCTCTCCTCTGTCCTCCCAGCCACTTTGTACTATTTTTACACTTGGAACAGTCTGTTTATCTGCTTGTCTCTAAAGCAATAGTTTAAACAATCACTTTAGTGACAAATGGAGGCAACTCAAGGGAGTTTGTTTTAATTTTAATATTCTAGACACTAAATATAGCACCTGGAACTCAACCTGTATATGCTGAATGGATGAGTGAGATGACTGCCTGGTTGAAAAACAAGGACAGATGAGAAATGCAGGATCAATAAAGCTGGAAGTAATGAATTTTTAAATACACTTTAGTTTCAACAGGATTAACAGGAAAGCCAGAGAGGTTAGTGATGAATGTTAGTTAGTGATGAATTATTAGTTAGTGATGAATGTTATTGCTGAAACAATATTTCCTTCATCTTATGACACTGCTTCATCGAAGTTTTCTATGAAATCTGTGTTCTAGCTGCATTGCCTTCAGCTAGAAATGTGCAGTGAAGAGAGATTATAAACAGCTTTGTACTTAACCTTTCGGTTGCTGCTTCAGCCTTCACCCATGACTGAAGACCTCCCAATTCTCCAGGACCTCCAGGCGCTCAAAAGCCTCAAGGTTTATTCATAAACACTATTTCAGTTTCCCAAGGTTAAGGTATACTTAGGTATCAGACAGTGCTGGGGAATATATGGAACTTAACATAAGAGTAATTTCTAGGTAAGTTTCTGGGAGAATTAAGACAGCAGCTGCCCATGTGAAGTATGTAATTTAAAAAAGACATGAAATTACATAAATCAGACCACTAATACTGGGAATAAAGGCTGCAAGATTAAAGTGCTATTGGACCTAAAGGCAGAGGGATGTAATCCAATATTTATCTGATCTTTCACTTCACCCCATAAAGTTGCCAAAGCTAAACTAAGAAATATAATAAGACTTTGATCTCAAATCCTAGTACACAGCCCAAATCGGCAAAGATTAACTATGTAGGAGTGCCTGTTTTCTTTTCTTAAGGGCAAGAATACCTGCAAACCAGGGAGCCTTCCCTGAGGCCTGAAGCAGAGAGCTTCCTCCACCTTAGATCTTAGGCACTTTGGGGTTGTAACAAGAGATCTTGTACCAAATTGGAAAAAAACACAAGGAGAGATTTATACCTGGGATTTTGTTTCCTAGATTGACTGCCTTTACCTCTTTGATCACTTTAGCCACAAGCAAAATTTGAAAGGAGGACCTTCACAGCTCTTTTCTCCAGAATACCTGGGTATAGTGAAAGTTCTGCCCACTTTTATTCCTAGAGTCAAGAGGTGTATCTTTAAAAGTACCTCATCTAAAACCTAAAGATAATAATATCTGGGCTGTTAAACAATTGCAGTTTCAAAGCTAGATTTTTAAAAAAAATGTCTTTACTGGGCCTAGTGGCTCACATTTCTAAACCCAGCATTTTGGGAGGCCGAGGTCGGTGGATCCCTTAAGCCTGGGAGGTGGAGGTTGCAGTGAGCTGAGATTCCACCACTGCACACTCACTCACTCCAGCCTGGGTGACAGAGTAAAACCCCTTCTCTGGAAAAAAAAATGGGAAGATATCGGCTCCTTGGAATTACAAATTTATAAAGACCTAACAACATATTATGTCTTGCCCGTAGAACAAACCACAAGGGTAATCCACATTATGACAAAAGTTGAAGTGTAAAAATAAAGGGAAAATAATAAAGTTTATTCAATAATATTTACCTTATGAGACACCTAGATCCGTGTAAATGTTGTTGATGGTTGAAGAATTGCAAAATTATATAATATACTCCCTTTTTAGAAAAAAATTAAATAATTCGATGATGCATGGGTAATTGTATTATAAATGTAAAAGTTATAACGTTAAGTATTTTGTGAAATATTGTGAAAGTCTCTAGGATAGGAATTGTGTCTTCCTTCATTTACTTACAGTGACTTACACATAGTGGGGACATTAAATGATTTAATGAATCATTATTTGTGAATAATAAAAATTTGCTATTTTCCACTATACACAAGTGTTTCATGACACATTTTACTTGAAAGAAAATTAGAGAGAAAATGGCACCTACTCTATTCCTACTTTACTGTATTAAAGCCCAAGTCTGTTTAATCCTGGGTCACCAATTTCTTTACTATAGCAGTGATAGCTATTAAGTAAAAGCTATCATGTATACAGTGTCAAGTTTTATCCTATATGCAAAACACATCTTAATTCATTTAATCTTCATAACAACTATATCTTTTTTGGGCTAAGGGCTCTTAAACTGTTTTAATTATATTATAGCCTATGCATTTTTGTGTCTTCTCTAACAAGTCTTTGCCTAATCTAAGGTCACAATGATATTCTCCTTTGTTTTCTTCTAGAAGTTTTATTGTTTGGGGCTTATATGTTTCAAGTTAATTTTTGAATGTGGAATGAGGTTTGGCTTACTTTTTTTCCTACATAGATACCAAGTTTATCCAGCATTATTCATTGAAAAGACTGTCCTATTGCCATTGAAATACCTGGACAATTTTGTTGAAAATCAACTGACTATGAATGTCTGAGACTATTTCTGAATTATTAATTTAGTTCTATTTAGTCTATGTAGAACAAAATTGTATATGTCCGTACTTACATCAATATCAGACCCTCTAGAATATTTTAGTTTTGGAGCAAGCTTGGAATTCAGTACAATGAATTCTTGATACATTTCTTCTTTTTAAAACTTGTTTCTGCAAAACATAGCAAAAACATATTTGTAAAATAAATATTTGATAAAACATTTGTACCCAGAATATATAAATAACTCTTAACAACACAACAGTAAAAAGGAAACTCAAATAATAGTGAGCAAGCAGTTTGAATAGACACTTCACAAAAAAATGTTGAATGGTCAATAAGTAATACAAAGATGCTTAATATCATTAGACTGTATGGAAATGCAAATTAATATGTCAGTGAATTACCATTGCATGCCCACTAACATGGCAAAATAAACAAACAAATAAATACCTAGCAACATTAACTACTAGGAAAGATGTGGAACAACTAGAACCCTCACACATTGCTGTTGCAAATGGAAAATGGTAAAGCTAGTTTGGAAAAGAGTTTGACAATTTCTTATAAAGTTAAACATAGACTAAGGAACCCAGAATTTTACTTTTATGTATCTAAGAGAAATAAAACCAAATGTTCAAAGACTTTTACTCAGTGGGTAATAGCAATTTTATTCATAACAGGCCCAAACAACTAAGTGAACAGATAAACACATTGTGGTATATTTATACAATAGTGTAACACTCAACAATAAAAAGGAATGAACTATTGATACATGCTATATCGTGGGTGACTCTCAGAGGCATTGTGCTAACAATGCTAGAATCCAGACAAAAATGACTAGAAACTAGATGTTTCCCTTTCCATGATATTTTAAGAAGGCAAAATTATTAACCAGAAAGTGAATCACTATTTGCCAGGGTCTGGATATGGGGAGACAAGGAGCATGAGGAAATACTTTGGGGTGATGTAAATAAATGTCTGGGTCTTGATTGTCTTGATGGTTACCCTACTACATACATTTGTCAAGAATCATCAAACTCTACCCTTTAAAAGAATGATTATTTTATGTGTAAATTGTATCTCAACAAACATGTTTTAGAAATCTATATTATTTACTCTTAGAAAAATGTTTCCTACATTATTTCTTCCCCTAGTGAGCTAGTTTAAGTATAACACACACATACATTTTTTCTATTTTCTTTTCTTCCCACCTCCAATGTTTGCCTTTCCCCCCATAACACTCCACAAAAATACGTGAACTGTGAGCATGGTTGCTACTTTTTCTAAACCTGAATTTTGTAAAAGTCAGCCCCAAATGAAATATCCAATGAAATGAAAACTAGATTCTCCCTCCGTGGGAGATACTTTCCCACGTTTTCAAATATCAGGAAGGGTATGCTAGAATCTAGCTTAAATTCTTGCCTAATGTATCTGGAGTTTCCATGTTTCTCTTGTGAAGAGAAGGCCCATAGCCACTAACAGTTTACCTGGAGTTTAAGCTGCTTATGGAAAGGGAGAGGGAGATGGAAGGATGAGCAAGTAATTGTGTTTAAAGGCAGCAAATAATCTTAGCTGATTTTACAAACAATATCTTACTATAATATAGCCTCTATCCCTCAAAAAATTCACATATACAATTCCATTCACATACACACTTAAAAGGTTCATGGAGTACATGAATGTCAAGACCACAGAAAATGAGAAAGAACCCTTTTTTCTATAGGAGTAGCAAAGATACTCTTATATCCTTGAAAATACCTTTCTCTAGTGCCTGACTCATTATACAATCAAATGCACTGATAAATAGCAGTGCTTGTGATAAGGATAATGACAATTTCTTTTCTCAATTGAGGTAACATTTCAAAATGTAGTTTAATTTTTGCTTACTATTTCCAAAATAGCAACATAAAAAGAGCACGAATGAGAACATGAGGCAATTTGAGAAACATGACATTAGGAAATGGATGAAAACTCAAATGGCACTTTCAAAGTTGTTGTCTTGAATTGTTTGATTTTCTACAGATGTCATCTATTCTCAGCAAAATATACTGCTGCCCCGCAACTAATCGATGTGCCACTGTGTGAATTTGCACTGTCAGAGACATTTATTTTTCCTGAGTCTTTACTGACTTTTGTAGAGCTAACAAAATGATATAACCAAGGGCCTATATCTTTCAGTAACTAGCATTCTATTTGCCCCAGAAATATTTTTATAAATAATGTTATGAATAAATATTAGCAATAATTAGAAGAAAGAAATATTGTAGACCTTAAAATAGCAGGATGTATATATTTTATGTATGGCAAATACCTTCAACTTCCAAGTATCCATGAAAATGGTGAACGGATAGTCAGAGATGGCATGAACCGAAATATCACAAATAAGGTATAAATGCTTTATGTCTAAATATGACAATTTCTTTCCCCATAAAATTTTTCTCAATATTATGAAAAGTAATAACCAATTTGAGAAACCAATCAACAAAAGTAAATCATTACTAAACATATTATTACCTCTGGTTTAATTTCCTATGAGGCTGGTCGTTAGCTAAGATGTGAGTAAAAAATAACAACAAAAGAGTCATAGGGCATTGGAATTTCCACAAAAACAATCAGCTCCAACAGAATAAAACAAAAGTTACCTCAGCTCGGTCTGCATTTAGGAACCCCTTTAATCTTTGTTGAAAATTCTTCATCCAATTACTAATTTTTCAGTGGAGAATTGGAGCAGTAGGACATAGCTTTTACTAAATCCAAGAGGGCTTATTGCCTTATTATATGCCTTGCAGTAACTATTCAGGAATTTTTCTCCATTTTTTAGGGGCTCACTCCTAACTTTTATTTATCTATTCTTCTCAGCAGATACAATACTCTTGCTTTGCAGACCAAAGAAATCATCACTTTTGAGCTATATTTTTTAATAAACTCCTTAGCTGCTCTGTTAATCCTTTAGTTCCCTTATCTCTAATTTGGGGAGAAGTTATAGTATATATCACCTATGTTTTTTAAAGTGTTTAATAAAGTAAAAGACATAAAGTGTTTAAAGCAGGCCCTGGGACATCATTAGGGTCAATATGACATAGTGTTATTGCTAATTTTGCATCTCTACTCCCGCATTTCTTGACCATCTCAAAAATTCCTCTAAATTTTCATCCATATTCTCTTTCTGCTTTGCTGTCTTAGAGAAAGAAGACTGTCCTCTTTTCTAAGGTCATATTTATCTTAATTAAAAAACTTTTCATATTTATCTTAATTAAAAAATTTTTTAAAGTTCTGATTATTTGATGGTCAAGAACAAATCATCAAGTAGTGGTTGTTTTCCACGTATATTTTAAATTCCTTAACCTAGAATCCATCATTTTAATTCTACTCTATTTGCCCAATTTTTTAAATTAATACTTATCCAAAAATCTTCCCAGAATAGGCTTTTTTAAAAAAATTACTTCACCACCTCAGTACCATTGCTTTTTCATTTCTCTGGAATGCACTTCTCTTGTCTGGTAACCAAAATGTTTCCTTATTCAATATTCAACAAGAATTTGGATTTATTGTGTGGCAGAAATAATTACTAATCATTAATAACAATGCATTCTTACACATTTCCCAGCCCCCAGGAATTCTGGTGAATTCATGTTACTCATCCTAACCTATGGGTTTTTAGTGAAACATAGAAAAGGTGGTTTGAACTCCATGTACACTTCATCCAACTATGGGAACCATGGTGTTTTTGTGTTCCTAATGATGCAGCTACAAGGTGTCTGAATTTACATTAGCCTGAGACCTTGAATAAGGGTGGGGAGCAAAACTCCAACCAACCCCCACTGGATATGTATGATGAGCAAGAAATAAACTCTGTAATGTTAAAACGTGGATGAATTGGGGTTATCACCAAGCAGAACCTAAACTGCCTTGACCATCCTTGATGCTAGAGACAAAGAAATGAAAGGTAGAATTGTTATTCTTAAGAACCCATAGGGTAGAAACTTGCTTTCTAATATTGTAGTCACAAAGAACATTAAAATATATATACATATTTTTTTAAACAGAGTCTCGCTCTATCTCCCGGGCTGGAGTGCAGTGGTGCAATTAGGGCTCACTGCAGCCTCTACCTGCCGGACTCAAGCAATCCTCCCACTTCAGCCTCTTAAATAGCTGGGACTACAAGTGCGCACCACCATACCCGGCTAATTTTTATATTTTTCATAGAGATAGGGTTTCCTATGTTGCCCAGACTGGTCTCAAACTCTTGGGATCAAGCAATACACCAGGCTCAGCCTCCCAAAGTGCTGGGATTACACTGTGGCTGGTCCACATTTTAAATTAAAATTAGTTAATATTTTAAAAAAAACCCTTAAAGTTGAGTTCCTTTGTTACACTAGCCATATTCCAAGTGTTTATAGCTATATATGTCTAGTGGCTCTCATATTGGACAACGTATGAGTAGTTCCATCTTTAGAGACTGTGATTGAACAGCATTGGTCTAGAAGAATGAAGAAGAAAGAAGCACATATGCTATTGCAATACGGTTTCATAAGTGGTGGTAACAGAGCTGTAGGTATAGAATATTATGAGAAAAAATGGCTCTCCCTCCCGCTCCCGCTCCCCCTCCCCCCGTCCCCCTCTCCCTCTCCCTCTCCCTCTTTGCACGGTCTCCCTCTGATGCCGAGCCGAGGCTGGACTGTACTGCCGCCATCTCGGCTTGCTGCAACCTCCCTGCCTGATTCTCCTCCCTCAGCCTGCCGAGTGCCTGGGATTGCAGGCGCGCGCCGCCACGCCTGACTGGTTTTTGTATTTTTTGGTGGAGACAGGGTTTCGCAGTGTTGGCCGGGCTGGTCTCCAGCTCCTGACCGCGAGTGATCTGCCAGCCTCGGCCTCCCGAGGTGCTGGGATTGCAGACGGAGTCTCGCTCACTCAGTCCTCAATGTTGCCCAGGCTGGAGTGCAGTGGCGTGATCTCAGCTCGCTACAACCTCCACCTCCCAGCCGCCTGCTTTGGCCTCCCAAAGTGCCGAGATTGTAGCCTCTGCCTGGTCGCCACCCCGTCTAGGAAGTGAGGAGTGTCTCTGCCCGGCCACCCAGTCTGGGAAGTGAGGAGTGCCTCTTCCCGGCCGTCATCCCGTCTAGGAAGTGAGGAACGTCTCTGCCCGGCCGCCCATCGTCTGGGATGTGGGGAGCGCCTCTGCCCCGCCGCCCCATCTGGGATGTGAGGAGCGCCTCTGCCTGGTCGCGACCCCCCGCGTCCGGGAACTGAGGAGTGTCTCTGCCCTGCTGCCACCCCGTCTGGGAGGTGAGGAGCGTCTCTGACCGGCCGCCCCGTCTGAGAAGTGAGGAGCCCCTCTGCCCGGGAGCCCCCCCTTCCGGGAAGTGAGGAGCGTCTCCTCACAGCCGACCCGTCCGGGAGGTGGGGGGCAGCCCCCGCCCGGCCGCCGCCCCATCTGGGAGGTGGGGGCTCCTCTGCCCGGCCGCCCCGTCTGGGAAGTGAGGAGCCCCTCTGCCTGGCTGCCACCCCGTCTCGGAGGTGTACCCAACAGCTCATTGAGAACGGGCCATGATGACGATGGCGGTTTTGTCTAATAGAAAAGGGGGAAATGTGGGGAAAAGAAAGAGAGATCAGATTGTTACTGTGTCTGTGTAGAAAGAAGTACACATAGGAGACTCCATTTTGTTCTGTACTAAGAATAATTCTTCTGCCTTGGGATGCTGTTAATCTATAACCTTACCCCCAACCCCGTGCTCTCTGAAACATGTGCTGTGTCCACTAAGGGTTAAATGGATTAAGGGCAGTGCAAGATGTGCTTTGTTAAACAGATGCTTGAAGGCAGCATGCTCCTTAACAGTCATCACCACTCCCTAATCTCAAGTACCCAGGGACACAAACACTGCGGAAGGCGGCAGGGCCCTCTGCCTAGGAAAACCAGAGACCTTTGTTCACATGTTTATCTGCTGACCTTCCCTCCACTATTGTCCTATGACCCTGCCAAATCCCCCTCTCCAAGAAACACCCAAGAACGATCAATAAATACTAAAAAAAAAAAAAAAAAAAAAAGAGAAAAAATGTGTTGGTAAATAGAAATTCTTAAAATATTATTTTTAGAATATTTTGAGAAAAATGAGAGGAAATGACATATGACTTTTTATATTAAAAGTTGTGAAATCAGATTCCAATTTTAGGACTTTATTCAACACATGTATTAGAACAGATATGCAATGATGTACACAGAAATGTTTAATTTAGCAATTCAGTTTTAATACTAGATGTCTGGTAGCAATGGCAACAACTATAGCTCATTTATTTGGGCCTGGAAATATAAATAAATTATATCCATAGAATAAGATATTATTTCATTTTTAACATAAAATTAGTTGGAATGTCCTTACAGTTGGGTTTCATGAGGTGAGATAGTCCTGAGAAAGAAAAAAAAAAAAAAAACTACCATCACCAGGTATCAGGTAGAGAGGGCTCCAGGTAGTAAGAACAAAGCTAAACTTGCAACTATCCGTGAGGTTCTAGATGCTTTGGAGGCTGGATTTCTATAGTAGAGAAAATCCAAGGAGCACTGATGAAGTCCTCCGTTTTTAAAAGTGTGGTCATTTTTAGGGGCCAGTGAAGTACAGAATGCCAACATAGCCATCTCTAGCAGGAACAGGAATGTTTGGATACAGTTCAGAGGGACTTTACAGAGGATGTGATCTTGGAGAGCTATCAAAGCTGTGCTCACTGGGGTTTTGAGTTCACAGTGAATGGAATAAGGACACACAATTCTGACTTTCCCACTGAATACAACAAAAAACCCTGGACAATATGCATGAAGCAGCTATTTGAGGACTATGCCAAGTAAATGTTGGCTGCAATGAACAGGGAATTCAAAGTACTCATGTACTGGCAGTGAGTTTTCTGTTTTTGTCTTGTTTTCTTTTCCTCTCTTATCTGGAATCAAAGAGAACCCGAAACCTGGAACTACGTACCAGTTGCACACAGAAATGGTTTCTAAAGGAGCCCTCTCTTTCTGGTCAGAGGAGCAGGAAATCCAGGCCCTATGAAACAGAGAGTAGAGGGATTTCCTATTTTTATTTGTTATGTTTTCTGTTCCTTTCTGTCTTAGCCTGAGGCACTAGCAGCTGTGTGTCTATTTTACTTAATAGTTTGTGAGTTCCAGATGCCAGACATTCTGTCTCTGTTGTTGTATGCCTATTATCTATAACGTGCCTGGACATACAATGTATCTGTGCAAGAAAAGCTAAAATATGAGGTAAAAGGTAGAAGAGGCCTCATGCACAGGAACATGGAGTGATCAGAAAAACGAAGACATTCAGGATACTTTGGTCTTGGAGAAAAATTACTTAGAAGTGGCAAATAGGATCAATAGGGCAGGACATTGAAGTTCATTTATCTGACAGGTGAAGTAGAAGATAAAAAAAGACTACATTGTTTAGGAAGAGGAGGAAATTCCAGTGAAAGTTTATATTAGACATAATAACAAATTTCATCAACTCTTTAATTTTACAAATATGTGAATAATATTGGCTACAAAAGCATTGATGTCTTATAACATTTAAACAACCTTCATTTTCTGTACATTACCTTGGAAAGTAATTCTGAAGTAAAGCAAGAACTCACTTTAACCCACAAATATTTAATTAAGTGCCCCTCTGGCAATGCTTTATTTTATTTTTAAGAGAAAGGTCTTATTCTGCACTCACACTGGAGTGCAGTGGGGCGATCATAGCTCACTGCAGCCTCAAACTCCTGGGCTTAAGCACTCCTCCCATTTCAGCCTCCCAAGTAACTGGGAGTGCACTATGGCCATGCAACACCACCAGGACTATTTTTTTTTTTTTTTTAGTGTTTAGTTTTTAGTAGAGACAGGGTCTCACAGTGATGCCCAAGCTGGTTTTTGAACTCCTGGCTCAAGTGGTTCTCCGGCCTTGGCCTCCCAAAGCACTGGGATTACAGACATGAGCCATTGTGCCCAGTCTAAGTGAATTGAGTTTAATTTACTAAGTTGAGGGAAGATATTTCTAATATAATCAGCCTTGGTAAACTTTTCTAGTACTCACTGTGCACTGAGAACTCTGCAAAGCAACAATATTCAATGAACAGAAGTTGTAACCCTCTCACGTGGGCAAGGACTTTTGTTTCCATGATTTGCTGTCGGTATTTTCCTTTAATTTTTCTAGCTCATTTCATTTTTTTTCAGACATCTGTGATTTCAGGGTTTAGGCAATGCAGTAAATTATTTCATACACTCTCTCCTGGACATGTTCCAAGCAAAATGCCCTTATTCTACTATTTTGTACAGTCCATGTAACATCTCATGATTTTATTGGATACATCAATTGTGCAGAGAATTTGATTGTATATGGGCAAACATGACCATACAATTTCTCTAGTTTATCTTCTGTGTAATGTATCCTTTAAACAATCTCATAAATAAACCCAGCCATTTCCCCAGCTTATCCTCCCTTTACAGACCCACACTGAAAGCAAAATGTGTAAATTTTCTTTTTCACTACAAGATTACTCTACCCTGGAGACTCAAAGGACAATTACTTCCCCCTTTGAATTCATTTTATGCTACGTTCCCTGCTGCATAAGTTTACAAAATCTCTTCATTAACCTAGTCTTTAAGTCCAGGAGTTAAATCTAAGCTCCTGAAGCAGTCATACCGGCCCAGACTACTGGCCTTCCTTTGAACTCTGTGGTTCTCAGTACATGAGCCCTTATATAACACTTGCAATATTCATCTTGAAAAATCTTGGCTACTTGATGCATGTAGGAAACACTTCATTCTGACTGAGTTTTCTGAAAAGCAGACAATATGCATCCTGAGCAGTAAACTCTTAAAGTTAATTTTGAATAAACATTATTTAAATGGTGTTATGCTTTTCCTATGCCTGATTATAAGATACAGTCTTGCACTGCATAACAATGTTTCAATCAGTATGGACTGCCTATGCTACAGTGGCCCCATAAGGTTATAATGGAGCTGAAAAATTTCTAGCGCCTGTTGTTATAGCCAGCCTTTGTAACATGACAGCACAATGCATGGCTTATGTGTTTACAGTGGTGCTGGTGTAGGCAAAGCTACTGCTCTGCCAATTGTATGAAAGTATGGCACATACAATTATGCATAGGACACAATACTTGATAATAAACTACTATATAACTAGTTTATGTATTTACTATACTGTACTATTCATCATTATTCTAGAGTGTACTCCTACTTATAAAAAGTTAAAGCCAGGTGCAGTGGCTCACACCTGTAATGCCAGCACTCTGGGAGGCCGAGGTGGGAGGCTAGGACTTCAAGTGGAGTGAGCTATGATCACACCACTGCATTCCAGCATGGGTGACAAACCAAGATGAGACCCTGTTTCTAAATAATAATAATAAATTTTTAAAAAGAAAAAAATAAAGTTAACTGTAAAACAACATCAGGCAGGTCCTTCAAGAGGTATTCCAGAAGGCATTGTTATCACAGGAGATGACAGCACCATGCTTGTTATTGCCCCTGCAGACCTTCCAGTGAGAAAAGATGTGGAGGTGAAAGACAGTGACTTTGATGATCCTAACTCTGTGAAGGCCTAGGCTGATGTGTGTATTTTAATTGTTAATAATAACAAAATTTAAAAAGTAAAAACATTAAAATAAAATGTGTTAAAAATAGATTAAAGGTTTAGAATAAAGAAAGAAAGACAATATTTTTGTCAGCTGTACAATGTGTTTGTGTTTTAAGCTGTTATTACAAGAGTCAAAAAGTTATTTAAAAGGTTACAAAGTTGGCCGGGCGCAGTGGCTCACACCTCTAATCCCAGCACTTTGGGAGGCCGAGACAGTTGGATCATTTGAAGTCAGGAGTTCAAGACCAGCCTGGCCAGCATGATGAAACCTCATCTCTAATAAAAATACAAAAATTAGCTGGGCGTGGTAGAGGGCACCTGTAATCCCAGCTACTCAAGAGGCTGAGGCAGGAGAATGGCTTGAACTTGAACCCAGGAGGCAGAGTTTCCAGTGAGCTGTTATCGTGCCACTGTACACTCCAGCATAGAGCAAAGACTCCATCTCAAAAAAAAAAAAAATTACAAAGTTAAAAAGTTTCAATAAGCTAATCTTAATTTATTACTAAAAAAAGAAAAAATAAATAAATTTAGTGTAGCCTGAGTGTACAGTGTTTATAAATCTACAGTAGTGTACAGTAATGTCCAAGATGTCGACATTCATTCACTACTCGCTTGTTATCTCACTCAGAGCAACTTCCAGTCCTGCAAGCCGCATGCATGGTAAGTGCCCTACACAAGGGTGCCGGCATGTTTAGATACATTAAGATATGTAAACACTTACCACTGTGTTACAATTGCCTACAATATCCAGTACAGTAACATGCTGTACAGGTTTGTAGCCTAGGAGCAATAGGCTATACCATATAGCCTAGGTATATAGTAGGCTATACCATCTAGCTTTGTGTAAGTACATACTATGATGTTCACACAATAGTGAAATCACCTAAAGACCCATTTATCAGACTGTATCCCCATTGTTAAGTGATACATATCTAGTAAAATTGGAGGCATTTGGGACACAAGAACAGCATTACTAACATCATTAACAGAAGTGCTCTCATTTTTTTTTTAATTGGAAAAATCTAGGCAAATCACTTTGAGAGGAACTAAAATTAAGATTGAGATTCCTGGCCTTTACTGTAAATTTACTGAATCAGACTGTCTCAGAAACCAATTGACTATGTATGCTTGATATGGGGTGTAGGAGGGGGATACAGGAAGGTTTGCTGCAATGCAAAATGGTGAATACTGATTTGATTATATAGCTTTTAAAGCTACTTTTTGCAGTGTTCCTGATTTCTCCCTTCCTTTGAGGCTGGTAGCTGTCCTTGCTCACTGCTGCAAGCATACCTGTTAGTAATAGGCATTCTCCTGCTGTCTAATGGGGTCATATTCTTTAAAATGATAAATATTGCAAAAATGATCAGTTTCTTTGCAAAATAGAGTAAATATTCTATAAGTATGGACCCAAGGGTCTCTCTTATGCATGTGAAACCAATTTATATAATGGGCTGGACAATAGAAACAGCTTTAATTTTTCTCTTCATCACCTTAACCCTTCTCTCTTGAAGTCTCTTTTCTGCCCTGAATGGCATTTCAGAGATATATTATAATTTGGGGGTCACTTTCAGATATAGAAATATCTAATTCAATCTGAATCAAAAGTTTAATCTTGCATCCAATATAAAGCATTCACCTCTCACCAGTTCAGAGTTAACCCTATGCTATAGAGCCATAGGTCCAGTGGCGAGGAAGGAGTAGGCTGGAGGAATGAGATCTGGTCTGTTATTTTGCAATATTTGTTCCAAATACCCTTTCTCCCATTCCCACCCCAACAATTTCCCCCTTTGGGCTTCTCATTTAATTTTGGAAGGTGCCCATATTTTCTGGACCATATTGGCTGTTTCTTTGGAGACCATGAACAATATGTCATTTCTTTTTGTGGGTTGATTTAATCTCCAGGAGACTTCACACATCATCCTCATAAGCTCCTACCCTGGGTTCCTTTCCCTGGGAAGCAAACCTCTTGGGCATCTCTCAGGGTGTCCTCTTGGCCCACTGCAAAACTTACAAACCCTTGTTCCACAAAACAGGAAAAGACAGGTCTACTACCACCCCACCCCTACCTTTTCACCTCTCTCCTCACCTTCCATTTCAGGTTTATTCAGCAAGCCTTTGAGTTGAAAGAGGAAGGAGCATCCTTCCTGCGTTTTTGGAAGAGGGAGGAGGGGAAATGCCATCAAGTCTCTATCTCTAATGAGTAGCTAGCCTTTATATATATATATATCGCCTGGAGACTGAGAATGGGTATTGATATTGATCAGATTGGCCACCTCTTACTAAGCCCTCTGGAATGTGTAAGCACCTTTCTTTGGAATGCAGATGTGTACTTTTTATCCTTTGTCCTGAGCCTTGTGGCCTCAGTGAGTCCTCATCCCAGACAATAGAAATAGTACCATTTACAAGAATATTGCATTAACTGAGGAGCAATTGCTTTGTAATACCTATTTTAGCTACCCAGAAGCCTTTTTCATTTTGTTTATTCCATACCCAGGTGTATTCTAAATTTTCAAATTTGCAGTAGTGATGTGTTTCTGGTTTTTGATAAGTGTAATGGTGTAGGCTGTGCTGTATAATTTTTTTTCATATTTTTAGATTTACATGTC